>NC_000012.12:67460128-67611643 GCF_000001405.40 Homo sapiens | reverse complement strand
TGTGAGAATTAACATTAAAATCTCATGCAGATCCATCATTTAATTCTCTAATAAGGCAAAGTTTACGATAAGTACTCTCTAAGGTCTCGATAATTTTTCAGAAATTCCAAAATGCATCTATCAAACATATATGCACAGAAACATGTTGTTATTTTAAACTAGTCAGAAACAAAACTGTTCTCCTTATTTGAACTCTCTACAGAGCCCGCACTAATATTCTTAAGACCAGTAACCACCTAAATGATCATTTCATTGACAACTCAATGCTTGGCACTGTTCTCTGCCCAAAAGACAGCATCCAGCCCAACTCTAGGCACAACTCAGCTCTTAAAGCATGCTTTTACATTGCTTCATCTTTTCCTTTCAGTTCAAGAATGAGCTCTTGCTGCATGGTTTTAGCATCATTCTTTTATTTTGGAGTTAAAAAAATATCCAGGCTGAACAGAATATGACAATCTATGCCTCAAAGTCAGTCAAAAATCCCTATATTTTTGCTGACAGAACTCCTAACATTCTGATAATTGAGAAACTTTCAGGTTTATTGATCGAATTTTTATTCCGTTTTACTGAGGCTTCTGCTAGAACTTCCATTTTCTGTGCCATGGACTTAAGTTCTCTACTAGGTTGTTTTCTGGTGTTGCTCACTTACTTCACAAGTAGCTCTCTTGCCTCTGCAACAAGATTTAAACTTTTGCGAGAGGAATTCAACATGTCTTAAAGCAGGGGCATCCAATCTTGTGGCTTCCCTGGACCACAGTGGAACAAGAAGAATTGTCTTGGGCTACACATAAAATACACTTACACTAATGATAGCTGATGAGCTTTAAAAAAAAAAAATCACACAAAAGCTCAGGATGTTTTAAGAAAGTTTATGAATTTGTATTGGGCTGCATTCAAAGCCATCCTGGGCTACTTGTGGCCCGCTGCAGGTTGCATAAGCTTGTCTTAAAGTGTTCTAGAACCTACCCCCTACACTTGGTTGAACACTGAGTTTGATGACTAACAGGCTGCCAATAAATACTAGACGAATTAAACACCTGTTATTTGGAGATGTCAGATATCTTTCTCTGGTTGATTAAGTCAGAGACTCAGTTGAAGCAAATATATTTTTTAAAATTTTTTTATCATGGAAGACTTAGAGAGAAGAAGTATAATGAATCCCCACGTCCCTATCATCAGCTTCAACAATTATCAACTCATGAACAAACCTGCTTTGTATAAATAGCTTTTGAAAAATTAACAGTTTTTTTGAGCAGTTTTAGGTTCACAGAAAAAGTAAGTGGAAAGTCCAGAGTCCTCAAATACTCCCTTCCTCTTCCCCCAGCTTCTACCATTATTAACATTCTGCATTAGTGTGGTACATTTGTCACAAATGATGATTCGATATTGCTACATTATTATTAACTAACTAAATCCATAGTTCACACTAGGGTTCCCTCTTTGTCTTGCACATTCTGTGGATTTTAACAAATATATAACGACATGTATCCAGCATTACCATATCCTACAGAATCGTTTTACCAAACAGTGCTAACTAACTAAAATAGCAATAACTAACTCCTGATTACCTCAGGGCGAGTTATATTTACACCCTAAAAGATGTTTCTATTCAAATTCAATTCACATTTTATGCTTTTTAAGATGATTTCATGTACATTGTGCCATTCTACTCACACAGTCATCTCCTTCAGTAAGCATTTTTACTCCCATTTTCTAAGATATTAAAGCTCAGAAAGGTTAAATAACTTTTCCAAAGGTCAAATAGCTAGTCAGGGACAGAGCAAGGATACCAATCTAGATTAAATGGGATTAATTCATGCTGCAGAATTTGTGACTTGCTAAATGACAGAAATGCTAAAATTAGTCCTTTCTACCATTTATGGAGCAATTAAGCATGTGGTTGAAAGTAGAGCCAGATGGCACAAGCCTTCCCAGAAGCAGGATTTCTTATACTATGGGAGAGAAGTGATAATCCTGAAATGGTGCTGGTGGGGGGTAGGGGGGATACTTGGTCCCCAACCCACCTCCTCGGGGGTACATGCTGTTTATATGTGTGTGAGAAAGAAAAACTGCAAGAGAAGTGCTGGGTGTATTGTAGGGAGAGCCAGAGTTCGATCAGGCCATGGAGCTGGAGGTAGGGAATGTATTTGCCATGGTGGAGAGAGTTTCCATATGGTTCAGAGGAAAAATTGATGAGGGAACAAGGAGCAGCAGCGGGAGGCTGTATAGGAGAGAGGAAGCACAGAGCAGCTTGGGGATGAGCACAGACGTTAGAGAGGCTTATATCTAGCCAGTCATTAGGGTAAAAATAAAGTGAGGCATGATGAGTTTAACTGACTATGAGGTTTTCCAAAGGATCCCCACTCAAGCTCTTAGTAAATGTTGGAGTCAGCAGTTCCCACTCTGTGTCCTTAAAGTCTGGAATCAACAGCTTGCCCTCTAGTTTCTCAGAACCATGCTGCCTCGGAGGGAGTCTGAAGCCCTGCAGTGTGGACCATGGCTGGAAGGGCGGCCCTACCAGGCCCTGGTTTCTGGTGCTGAGAATGGCATGGGTTGACACACAGGGAGGCAATTCCCTAAAGTTTGGGCTGTGGGTTGGTTTTGATGGGGTGATTACTGGAGAACCTAAGGCTCATGACAGTGAAAATATGTTTTGACAAATATTCTGCCCTTTCTGAGTGGGGAGTGGGACCAGTTCTATGAAAAGTGTGGCAGGGAATTGTGCTCTTGAGTGCCCACACTACCCCCACTCTTCTCCTTTGGTGGTTTCTTCCCTACTCTCCATCATGGCCATTCATGCTGCCATGGCTCACCCCTCCAGTTTCTCCCCAGAGCACACACATTTTCAAGCAAACATTTTGTTTCCTCATACTCGATAAGAATGCACCTGTTTTATGTCTAACTCTATGCGAATGCACCTTGCTGTCCTAATCATAGAATGGCTGTGCTGTAAATCTACTCCAATTACTCATCTGAATCATATCAAAATCACCCCACCAAAACCAACCCACAGCCCAAACTTTAGGAAACTGCCTCTCTGTGTGTCAACCCATGCCATTCTTGGCACCCAGAAACCAGGCCTAGCAGGACCACTCTTTGAGCCATGGTCTAGCCAGCTGGACAGAAAACTCCTTGCCTTAAAATGTTGCCCATCATTGGTTAGTACTGAGTGATGGACAGCTTTATTGAGTTAAATTCCTTGTATGGCCCTCAGACTCATATAGAACACTCATAATTCCTTTTCTTCAGGCCATCACTCCAAATATCAGCCCCTAGGTTTGTCTTACTAAGGCTGCCAAGTCCTATGTCCCTCAGACACTGAACACCAATGTAGAAGGGTGAGATCACAGTTCCCAGATAAAAAATCTGCCTCTTCTTGTTTTAAAAAGAAAACATATTAAGCACTTACTCCGTGCCAGACTCTGTGCTAATTGGAAGATTAATTTAATTTGATTAATCTTCCCAACAACACCAAGAGGGAAGGATTGTTTTCTTTTTTCCAATGACTAAACAAGGGCTCAGTGGAAAACATGATTTGCCTTAAGGTCATGCTGCATTTCTAGGGGCAGAGATAGAACTGAAGCCCAGGTCCCCCAACTTCAAGGCCTGTTCTCTGGCTACCACACACTGAGAGCGACTCTCTCCAGACAACAGCCCATCCACTGGAGCAATCAGATGCTGCAAGTCTAGACAGAATTATAAGTCTGAAGGCTGAGGAACGATTTGAAGCCTAATTTTTTTTTTTTTTTTTTGCATTTCCAAAAAGTGTAATATATAAGTGTATTATTATTTTTATTACTCTCAAAGCCAAGGTTAGTGTGACGAGATGGTGTCTTAGTGTTGGTAAGAAACACTAGCTGCCGTGACAGAAACCCCTAGAATCTCAGTGGCTTAACATAAACCGTCTTATGCAAAATGTAATGCACGTGTCTTTCTTTGGCAAGTGGTCTTCTATGTGGCCTGTTACTGGTTGAAAAAATTCATATGTTGAAGTCCTAAGCTCCAGTTCCTCAGGCCATGACGTTATTTGGAAATAGAGCTGTTATAGATGTAATTAGTTAAGATGAGGCCATACAGGAGTAGATTGAGCCCTAGTCCAATAGGATTGGTTTTCCTATGAAATTGGACACAGGCACACCTACAGGGAATACGTCATGTGAACATGAAGATGGCCATCTACAAGTCAGGAGAGAGGCCTAGAACAGATCCTTCCCTCTCAGCCCTCAGAAGGAACCCACTTTACAAACATCTTGACCTCAGATTTCTAGTCTTTAGAACTGAGGCAATGGATTTTTGTTGTTGAAGCCACCCAGTTTGTGGCGCTCTGTTATGGCAGCCGTAGCAAACAAACACACAGTCCTGCAGGGCATCTTTCCATCTGTAGCTCTGCCATCTTCTAGAGCCTCAGAGTTCTTTCCTGGAGCCTCTGTCTTTGGCTAGGGGATGAAAGAGGAGAGCATGTAGAGGGTTTACGGGGCAGGCATGAAGGGACATGCATGTTTTCTGCCTGCAGTTCATTGGCAAGAAGTCAGTCACATGACCTCCTTAACTTCAGCAAGGACTGGGAAATGTAGGCTAGCTGTGTCCATGAACAGGAGAAAACAGATGTCAGTAAACACAGCGGATTCCTTGCCACGGATAATTTAAAATAGAAAGATACTGGAGGAAAGAGGCCACTGCTAGGAGGCTATGACAGGAGTCATTCATCCAACATCCACTCACTCCCTCATCCATTCTATAAGTATTTATTGAGTGCCTACTGTTTGCCAGCACTGAGTTGGTATGGCGACATAGGGGCATAGCAGGAAACAAAAAGGGACAGATCCCTGCCTTTAAGGAACTTGCACTGTGATAACATATGGTAGAAAATTGCAAGTTGCCTTTGGAGGCTCTTTAAATGTAGTCCTAGTGTAGGTGGTCAGAGAAAGTGGTCACAGAAAGTTCTCAGAGGAGAAGACACTGAAAGAGAAATAAGAGGGAGCTAATGGTCTGCACTCCCACCTCTGCAATTCCAAAATCCAATAAGCTCTGAAAACCAAGTTTTTTGGGGAAAGTTATTTGGTAATAAAACCAGACCTAATCTTGACACATATGGTTGAAAAGCCTGATCTCAATGGACACAAAGGTACTTATACACTTTATCTATTGTACTAGGGATCAGTACTTGAATACTTACACTCTTGCTACAAGATGTTCATGTGTTTGTTTCCAAAATAGATCAAGACATAGTATTGCTAATGTGCCAGACAGAGTCATCAGATAATTAAAATGATGGATGAATTTTGGTGAGAACAACGGATACCACAAATGTTTTTCAGAATACATCCTAGTCACCCAAATTGATAGATATCTTTAATATTCACTCTTTCAGTGGTTCTGTAATTGAATAATTTCCATATCTCTGAAACCAAAGAGGAATTACCAATGGTTTGGTCAATACCTAGAGCCTTAGAAATAGGTGGTGGGCAGTGCTGGGAGCAGCAGTGAGGGTAGTGCCTTTAGTAGTGACCACTGAGCTGGATCTGTGAGCCAGGTTGACACAGAAGGAGTGGACTTAGGATCTAGGGTTTCTTCTAGCAGAGGATTTGGAGAAAAGGTAACTACTCACATCATTGTGAACTAAGACTTTCTTCTCCTCAATAGCTATGGCAAAAGGGAAATAATGATAGTGTTGGTGCTTCCAGAGATGCTCTACCTGCTTACCTTTCCATAGATAACACCTGGACTCTACCATGAAAACAAGCATTAGCTCTAGCCACTCAGTTAGAACACTCATACACACAGAGGAGCAATAAGGAGGTCTAAGCCACCTTGAACCTTGTTCTTCAAATTAAGACATCTGGAAGTGACCGATGTGAAGCAGCCATTGTCCAACCAAGCTCTCTGTGATCATGGAAATGTGCTGTGATCTGTGTCCCCAGTACAGTAGCCAGGAACCCTGTGTGCTCTGGAGTGCCATCCACTGAAATGAGGATGGTGTGATGGAGGAACTGAATATCTAATTTGATTTAATGTTAAGTAATTTAAATTTAAATTTAGATGGCCATATGTGGCTAGTGGCTACCATATTGGAAAGCTCGGGTATAAAGAGTTACTTTTTCTCATGCAAAAATTACACCACCACTGAAACACAGGGCTAGGAATCCTGTTTTCTAGCTTTTATTTCCTTGTAAACCAACTGTGGCTAGTACCAGTTGTGGCGCGTTTTTGAAGGTATGTTAACATTTTCATTTCTGTAAGCTTCATCGCTTCTGGAAAAGTGTTCTAACCTGGAGCCTACTAGTGAGTTGGAGAAAGTCATTAAAGATTTTGCTTTCAATTACTTACTTCTACAATGTTCGTCTTCTTTCTCCTCTTAGCCAGGCAGGAAGAGAGAAACAAAATTATAAAGCAATACCAGTACAGTGGCATGTAGTAACCCTTGTGTTTGACATTTCTTTGGCTCAAATGTAGTCATTCCACTTCTCTTGGTAGGATGAGTTTACTTCAGGCTGTAGCTTTTCTCCTGGTGACGAACAAGGATGTTCTCCTTAAGGACAGGGATGCATTAAAGTTCTCCTTGTGTGGCAGAGTGCCTGGTACTTAGCAGGCATTTGATACATGTATGTTGGATCAAATAGCTTATCACAATCAAACAATGTTTAAGTTTACTTAGTAAATACTAAGTACTATAGTTCTTCAAATACTTTGCAAACTTTTCCCAATGCAACCTAATTTAAGCCAGAGAGTAAGTCCAAATTTATGGCAACACAGCTTAAACATTTCCACTAAATGAAGTAAAGTAAAGCTTAAAAACAGAGATGTAAGGTGCATGTTCCACAGGTATAAAAGGATGATATGGGATCTCCCAGTCTATACATGTTTAAGGAAGGACAGTATCAGTGACATTCTGACCCAAATGCATTACACTTTAATTTAGAAAAAAGGAATAAAAAAGGAGTCTCAGAGTCTTTTCTAGCCATGAGTTCATAGGTGTGAACCCAAATAGCTTTAACCTGATAAATCCCCTAAATCCTTTCCCACAAAAAAGACCACATTTGAAAGACTTTCTCAAAAAACTCTTCAATAATTAGATCACTGTGGAATTTCTGATTGGAGATTTGTTGCCCTGAAAATTTGTAGTATTTTTTCCACTAGCCATAAGCAGTTCTGATTTTTCAATTAAAATCCACATCTGTGGAATATGTACCTAAATAAAAAACTATAAACAGCCTTACAGAAATATTTGTGCCAGTAGGGTGACTATAGTTAACAGCAATGTATTGTATATTTCAAAATAGCTAGAAGAAAGAATTTTGAATGTTCTCACTACAAAGAAACAATAAATGTATGAGATTATGGATGTGCTAATTACCCTGATTTGATAATTACACAACATGTACATGTACTGAAATGCTGTTTCTTATAATATGTACATTTATTGTGTGTCAATTAAAAATAAAAGAAAACTAAAAAAAGAAATATTTGTGCCAAATGGTAGATATAATAGTCATGGCAGAAAAGCAGAATATTCTAATTTCATCTTCTTTATTATGTGAATCCTTGAGTGGTAGATTTTTTTTCCTCAGTTAACATAGATTTAATGGTAATAATTTGCAGAGATGCATTTAGAAGAACTATTGGATGTTTCTGCTAACATCCTTTGGAAGTTGATTTCCCCAACTAGGATCAAAACTCTAGCTTTGTAAATCCTCCTTTTGTTATTCACCACTAAATTCGCATTTTTTAGAAAGGAGAAGGAAGCCATGGGAGTTTTCTGGTGTCCCTGGAAATTCTGTCATTCAATGCTCAAATTTGCAGCTGTCTATCCCTGGTTTGTTGTAGAATAATTTGATGGGACATAGAGTGTCAACACTTTTTTTGTAAGCCCTCTGGATAAGTCTTATATCATCTGTTCATACTTCCAGAAAACATTCATAAAAATGTCCCTATAATAGACCAGGTATGATTTCCTATAATAGACAAAGATGGTCTATACAACTTTGACCTTGTGCAAAGTAAGAGAATTTCAAAAATAGGTAAACGGCATCATGCAATGGATAATCTTTTTTTTTTTTCTTTTTTTTTTTTGAGATACAGTCTCGCTGTCACCCAGGCTGGAGTGCAGTGGCGCCATCTTGGCTCACTGCAACCTCCACCTCCTGAATTCAAGCAGTTCTTCCACCTCAGCCTCCTGAGTAGCTAGGACTACAGGCATGTGCCACCACACCCGGCCAATTTTTGTATTTTTAGTAGAGATGGGGTTTCACCATATTGGGCTGACTGGTCTCGAACTCCTGGGCTTGTGATCCTCCCACCTTAGCCTCCCAAAGTGCTGGGGTTACAGGCGTTAGCCACCGTGCCCGGCTGGATAATTTTTTGAATAGTTAATTATTATTTACTAAAGAGACATAAATGCTGGAAATAATGCCAAGGTTTATATCTCAATAAAAGAAGAAAGTTAGGTTTTGTGAAATTCCCTAAGCCACCTTGGCCATTTACAATTTACCACTGTTGGTAGCTTCAGATAATCAAAAGACGGTGGGAATTTTATGTCCCCGCGTTTCCACAACTTTCCTATTAGCAAATTTCAGACCAGATTTTGACATGTATACAAAACATAGCCCTAAAACCAGTTCTTGTAAACTTGGTGAAATCATGGCTCTCTGACTTTCTGGGTGTTCTGACAAGCACTTTGCATGAAAGTAGCTCTCCTGAGCAAACACAACATGTATTCTATTAGCAGGATCAGCTAGGTGGATTAGCCAACAAAATCCTCCATAAAGTGGGGGGCATGATCGATTAGAGTTCTAGACCTAGGCACTCTATAAAAGGTGTTCGGCTACAGGGCTACCTGGATCCCCATTTCTTATTCATACAAGGAAAGGAGTTTTCTATACAAATCTTTCCATGTAACCATGTATCATAAACACAGCTTATTTCACCAATAGTAAAGCACTTTCTAGTATCCTTATGTTGCATCATCAACCCTTGGAGGGCATATTTGTATAGTAGTATTTAAAATACTTGCTACTAGAGTGTAGAAAATACTATACTTCCTTACTGAGATCCTTCCAATTTTAACTAACCACCTTCAAAGTACGGATTTCTGATTGGAGCACTTCAGATCTTATTCTAGGCATCTAGGGAGTATAACTGTATACAAAATGTGGACATAGAGGTATTTCAAGTAAATTACAGGCCATATAAGAGAATGGTTGGGGGTATGAAGACGGGCTGAACAATCAACCACTTTCAAAGGTCTGGCTTCAGGATTTAAGAAAATGAACACTATTATCTACCTCAGCGTCCTTTTAGGACCATCCTCGCCTCCGTTCTCTCACTAGTAAAGCACTAGTCCTGAAAGTAAAAGCAAAGTCTCTGAAATCAGGCTGCCTGGGTTTGAAGCCTGAGGCTGCCACTCACCTGTCAAAGTTTATGTTCTCTATGCCTTCACTTCCTCACCTAAAAAACTGAGGGCAATAATATGCCTAAGCTATTAGGTTGTTCTGAGGGTATGAGGTAACTCAAATAGAAACCTTGGCAGCTTGCCTCACACCTAGCAAGTATCCAATGAATGTTTACAGAAAAACAAATGCATGCAAACAACAAGGGGATTGTGTTAGGCAGAAGTATATAAGACAAAGCCACAATTCCCGGTCTCAAGGAGCTTATAGCCCAGTGGGAGAGACAGGCAAAGATGCAACAAAAACATAGTTGATTAGTTCTGGCCAGGCGTGGTGGCTCACTCCTGTAATCCCAGCACTTTGGGAGGCTGAGCGGGGCAAATCACCTGAGGTCAGGAGTTCAAGACCAGCCTGGCCAACATGGCAAAACCCTGTCTCTACTAAAAAAAGTACAAAAAATTAGCCAGGCATGGTGGTGAACACCTGTGGTCCTGCTTCTTGGGAGGCTGAGGCAGGAGAATTGCTTGAATCCAGGAGGCAGAGGTTGCAGTGAGCCGAGATCACGCCACTGCACTCCAGTAGGAGGGACAGAGCGAGACTCCATCTCAAGAAACAAAACAAAACATAGTTGATCAGTTCTATGTAAAATGTATGTAAATTGCAATACCTGCCAACCCTTATTAAACATATATATAGATAGATACAATGAAAGCCACTAGAAATTTCCAATATATAAGAGGAGGATTAAGATACCCTATCATCAACAGTGATATACATTGCAAATGCCAGCATAGAAAATACTTTAAAACAACTGATATATTGAAAAATGATGTTTTATTTTAAATGCTCTACATTAACAATTTGTCTTTTTGGATTCTGAAAACATTTTCCAGGGGCCTTTTCCAGTTAGAAATGAGACTACTGTAAACAGTCCAACAATTAATGACATACAGTTGGCTTTTCTGAGCTAAACAGTTATTGAGCCCAAATTTACAAATGCGAAACACTTCACCAGCCACAAAACAAGGCTGAATCATATTAAGAGAACATGGATTTCAAAAAGAGCAGAAACTTTCTTTCTTTTTTTTTTTATCTCTTTGTTTATTCCTTATTTTAACAGGTCATCTACCTTTTAACAGCACGGCTCAGTGTTACTGTTTTCCTTGCCAACTACAGATATGATCTGAGATTTCAATGTGTGAATATGAGCTAATTCACAAGACAAGACAAAATGCCAATTTAATAACTCTTAGACAAGACCTAGATTTTGTGTTTGAATAGGGATGGCAGATTGAGAACTATTAACCTGCTAATCTGCAGATGCATTAAATGTCTGTGGATAGTCAAGGCCACAATAGTTTTGACAACTTAAAAAAATACTCTGTCATGGCAAGATAAGTTACCCATAACCTTCACATTTGCATAACAGGATAGATTGCTTCAACTCTTCAGGGTGCAAGTATATTTCCTACACATCAAAAAGTCAACCAAGTACTCACCATTTTATTTTCCTAACTATTATTCAAATATGATTAAGGTTTTTTTTTTGTTTTGTTTTACATAACACATGATGGGTTTAAAACCTAGGGAAAGAAGATTGATTTTGGAGGTTTAAGAAATGTGTACCTTTTGGTCTTAACAAGATTCTTCATATTATAATTATTAAAATCTATATACTGTCTTTTAATCAGATCTTTAAGAATATTACCAGAATACTAATGCTAATGAGTTCATTAGAAAAGCTTGTTTTTCCCCCAAGAGACAGGGTCTTATTCTGTTGCCCAGGTTGGAGTGCAGTGGTGCAATCATAGCTCATAGCTCACTGCAGCCTCAACCTCCTGGGCTCAAGCAATCCTGCCTCAGTCTACCAAGTACCTGGTACCACAGGCACATGCCACCATGCCCAGCTACTTGTTTTTTAACATTTATTTATTTGTAGAGATAAGGTCTCACTTTGTTGCCCAGGCTAGTCTGGAACACCTGGCCTTAAGCATGAAAAGCTTTTTTTTTTTTTTTTTTAATAAATTTTTGGGAGTAGGGGTGGGATTTAGGTGTGGAGTGGAAGGAAAGTGAAGAGATGCTAAGATAAAAAGCTTCTGTTAGTCCGTTTTCACAGTGCTATAAGGAACTGCCCAAGACTGGGTAATTTATAAAGAAAAGAGGTTTAATTGACTCAAAACTCTGCATAACTTGGGGGAGGCCTCGGGAAACTTACAATCATGGCAGAAGGGGAAGGAGACACCTTCTTCACAAAGCGACAGGAGAGAGAAGAGAAAGCCAAGTGGGAAGCGCACCTTACAGATCCATTACATCTCTTGAGAACTCACTCACTATCACTAGAACAGCATGGGGGAAACCACCCCCGTTGATCCAATCACCTCCTTACCTCAACACGTGGCCAAACAATATGAGAGCTTAAGAGAACTTGTGGCTGAAACCAGTCTCTTTTTCATTTGAAATTATTGTAGAATCTGAAAGTGTTGCCGTGTTCATAAAGGTAAGAAAAAACTTAATTCTAGTTCAAAACATTTAATAGTAGCTGTGGTCTGAATGTGTCCCCTCAAAATTCATGTATTGAAGCTGAATCATCAATGTAATAGTATTAAGAGTTGGGGCCCTTAGGGGATAATTAAGTCATGATGGTAGAGCTCTCATGAATGGGGTTAGTGACTTTATAAAAGAGGTGGAAGGGAGCTATTTGCCCACTTCTGCCATATGAGGATGCAGCAAGAAGGTGCCATGTTTGAAGCAGAGCAGCCCTCGCCAGACACCAAATCTGTTGGTGCCTTGATCTTGGACTTCCAAGTTCCAGAACTGTGAGAAATAAATTGCTGTTGTTTTTAATACTCTGCCTAAGGTATTTTGTTATAGCAGCGTGAATGAACTAAGACAACACCAGAAAGCATAATTGATTTTCACCTTAAAACACTTAATTGGGTACATTAATATGGTTCATTAGTATCCAGATTTTATACCTGATCTATTCATCAGGATATTACTGACTATATTTGTTCTCACCAGATTTTCCATTTTCATAGAGATTCACAAATGGTGAATAAAATTATAACTCTATTCTTTTGCAGAGTTAGATCTTACTTGTTTTTCCTATTTTTCCATGAAGGTAGCTTGAGAGAGGAATTGAGAATATTGCTAAAAAGATCAAATACAGAAATGAGTTTGTCATTTTCAGTCTCACTTAGTTTTCATATTCAACAGCATGTTAACCATTTGGGAAATAAATTCTCCTTTTTTTCTTTTTTGAGACAGGGTCTTGCTCTGTCACTCAGGCTGGAGTGCAGTGGTACGATGATAGCTCATAGCTCACTGCAGTCTCTCAACCTCGGCCAGGAAAGAAATTCATTCATTCATTTGAAAAGAAACACATGGACCATGATCCCTTTCTGAACCAACATCCACTTGACTTTAAATCTTTCAAAGGGCACTTACTGACAATTACTATGCACACACTGCTACAGTTATGCCTGTAGTTAACCAAATTTGTCAACTGCAGAGATATACACATTTCTTTTCTATTCTAAATTAAATTTAAAAATCAACTTGAACACACACATGCGAGATTATCAAGTTCAGTCTCTTACTCTTGAGACTACCCTTTGTCTTTCAATATCAAAGAACCCTAAAGGCAAACACAGATTAAGCCACTCAATCTGTGGGGTTTTGTGAATAGAGGAATTTGTCTGACTTCCACACCTAAGCAGAGATCAGACATTTATTGTCATAGCTTCTCACCAACATGTGGTATCACTGAAGAAAACTTGTTCCATAAGATCTAAAGGGCACTGAGGAATATTTCTGGTCCAGGTCTGTGGGGGTGGATGGAAATGAGGAGCCATGTCTTTCAGGAAGCTGGTTCTGCCATTTTGGATTTTTGAACAAAGCTATTTTTTTTTTTTTTTTTTTTTTTTTTTGCTCAAATCCAAGCTTAGGCAAGGAGCTCCAGGTTCACTGTTTACCTTGAAACTATCCTCCAATGCACCAGTTGTCTCAAGAGTGCCATGTCACAAGTGGCCTAATAGCCTACCATTTGAGGACTCCCAACCAGCAACCCTTTTTTCTTCCTGGGGATGTAAATTCCAAGAATGAGGCTAGGAAGCTACTGACTTTGAGGCCCTAATCCGCAGCAGGCTTTTATTGTCTTTTTGGGTTCCAGACACTCACAGAAGTAAAGGCCTCCTGACCTTTCCCTGTCTTTCCTTAATACTAGGCCTTGATTACTCCCAGAGGGTCTACATGTTCATCCTTTTTTGGGGGACAAAGCCATGTTTCTTTCAGTAGTGATTTACCCTCCCAAGGCTGACCCAGGAGCAAAAACAAAACAAAACAAAAATACATACACACAAATAAAAGCATGGTCAAAATTTTAGGCAGGACATCCCCTACATTTAGGTTCAATGATAAGTTATCATTCCTTCCTAGCCATAGCGTGTACGTCCATCTTCCCTTTGGTAAACAGATTAATCTGCTCAAGCCACTGTAACAAAACACCACAGACTGTGTGGCTTAAACAACAGAAATGTATTTTCTCACAGTTCTGGAGTCTAGAAGTCCAAGATCAAGGTGCCGGCATGCTTTGTTTCTGGTGAGGGCTCTCTTCATGGCTTGCAGATGGCTGCCTTCTTGCTGTGTCCTTACGTGGTGGAGAGAGAGAGCAAACTCATTAGTGTTTCTTCTTCTAGGGGCAGTAATATCATGGGATTAGGGCTGTACCCTCAGGACCTCATCTAAACCTAATTATGTTCCAAAGGCTCCATCTGCAAGCACCATCACACTGGGGGTTAGGGCTTCAACAGATTAATTTTGGGAGGATACAAACAGTCTTTAACAGTAGATAAGACTCATTGTTATTTTTTTCTCCCCTGGCTAACATTTAGAAGATGGTCCTTATTTAAGATTTCTTTTATTTCTAATATGCATTACTTCAACCAGAGTAAAACTGACCAACAGCAAAATTTGTTTTGTTTTAGGTCATTAATATTTTGAAATCTTAAATAGAAAAGTCTATTTTTTATCCAAATTAACTCAAATATATCTTTTATCTTTTCCATCTTACTGCTAATTGTCATATATGGCTTTTTAGAGAAAGATCAGAAAATACCCCAACATGGAAAAAATATATAAATATACACACATAACTGTACTGTTTATCTTAGTGCAGTTAGAAACAGGGTATACAAAAAAAGTTTAAAATGCTGAGATTTTTCAGTCATTTCTATAGTCAAATAAATCAGAGCAATTTTATATTCAAGAATTCTGAGGTGCTGAGTGCGGTGGCTTACGCCTGTAATCATAGCACCTTGGGAGGCTAAGGTGGAAGGATAGCTTGAGTCCAGGAGTTTGATACCAGCCTGGGGAACATGGTAAAACCTCGTCTCTATAAAAAATACAAAAATTAGCCAGGCAGGGTGTTGTGTGCCTGTAGTCCCAGCTACCAGGGAAGCTGAGGTGGAAGAATCACTGGAGCCGAGGAGGCCAAGGCTTAAGTGAGCCGAGATCACGCCACTGCACTCCAGCCTGGGCAACACAGAGAGAGACCCTGTCTCAAAAAAAAAGAAAAGAAGAATTCTGAGAAATCCTTCATCATGACTAAAGGCACCTGTAAATTTATTTATATATAATTTCTGCTTTATGGATTTTAGGGAGGACAGCAACATAACTATTTCTAACATGTAAACAAGATTCCTAACTTTTTACAACATAAAATATTAAGTTAATATTAAATCACTACTACAAAAAAGCTGATAGATGACTAGAATCAACATGATTCAATTTTTATCTTATCTATACTTACGTAGTTTTCTAACAACTGAAATAATAATATCACTTCAGGCAGTCAGACTTTTAGATAACTGAATAAAATTTGCGTCCTTCGGCCCTCCTTCTAAAAACACATAGAATCATCAGAGTGCATTCTTCTGGGTACACTGGCAAAAAAAAAATTGTGTGATATCAAATGGAAAATGTCTCAATAACTGTGGAACCCAGAAAACAAAGTTGGAAGGGAGAATGCATTGTTTTGAGCTAGGTACCCTTCTAGGAACTTTTATAGCCATTAGGTCATTTAAACTCTTACAGCTTCCCTGCATGTGAGGAAAAGCCTCAAGTGTGGCATTAAGTGGGTATTGACCAGTGTGAAGGGCCAGGAGATCTGAATTGCCAATCTATCTCACACGCCCCTTAGTGTGCCTAGGTGTGTCAATATTTTTAT
Organism: Homo sapiens; assembly: GCF_000001405.40. Classification (NCBI taxonomy): domain Eukaryota; kingdom Metazoa; phylum Chordata; class Mammalia; order Primates; family Hominidae; genus Homo; species Homo sapiens. The sequence goes on along the minus strand of NC_000012.12, from coordinate 67,596,031 downwards.
ATAAAGGAAGAAGGGGTCCTTGCAGCTTTTGATAAGGTGAACTGGAGATGTTTTTTCTATTTTTTAAGCATTTCAATTGCTCCAAAAGCATTTAAGTATTGCAGTTTGTAAAACAAATATTATGGCTTACTCCTGGTATAGGAGAGATAGTGCTGATGGGTGGAAGGAGTTTACCATATAACATCTTAGACATGTTAAAAACCATGATTTTAAATCTTTTGAAACCTTCTTGTGTTCCCTGTTCCATGTGCTGTCCACAGAAGCAACAAGACAGAGGAAGCTGAGGAGGCAAATCTATGAGGCCACAAATCTAAGAGTACAACAAATCTACAAGATTTACATTTTACAGATGAAAAAATTGAGACTTAACATCCAACATCACACACTAACACAACTGGAATTTCAACTTGAATCTGCTGATTGCAAAACCCTAGCTCTTTTCTTCACGCCGTACATACCAGTATACCATATCGCTCTACTGCATCTCAGAGATGTTTGTTTTGCCAACATAAAGCCTTTTCATTTATAGTGCAGATTATGATTATATCATTCTGTAGCAAATGGGTTTTCATGCTTTAAAAGACAGTATACCAACATGAATTTAATCTTGAAAATCTGAGCCATTATCATAAATCAAATGCTGCTTGACATTCTAAAAGAAATAGGACTGGCCAGAGAAATTTTAGATTCATTATAATTCCTCATAGATATTCATACTTTTGTGACTGTCATTGGATACAGAAATGATAGGTTTGGGTTTGGTTGTAACTTCTCTAATTTTAGGAAGAATTTCTAGTCTACCTGATATCAAGTTATGCATGTCATGACCGTAATTTAGATATTATCACTGGCCTTAGTGTAAAATTTCAAATGCAGCCTTAACACGCTGCTATGTTTTATAGGAAAGGATAAATGCTGAGTCATGTTTCTCATCCCAGAACCCTGCATGCTTCTGCTTGAGGCTGTTGACTTCTGAGCCTGTCATCTTGCCTTAAGATGCACAGCTCTCTCTTCTCCCTACCTCTGCAATTCTCCACTCAGCATTTTCTGATGAACTAGTGTTGTCTTCAGTTCTTCCCTCCATCAGAAAACCACATTAGAGGTCATTTGAATGTAATCCTTGGCAATGACATTTTACCTTGCCTTTGGGTAGAAGTCACAGCTAATGTCTGAGCATTTGTGCTTCCTGGTTGTTGGTGGTTGGGGACAAAGCTATGAATTTCCATTGAATTATTCTTCACTGCAAGATTGTCACTCTACAACAGAGCATCATAACAAGAAAAAACAAAGGCAAGTGATGAGAGAAAAAGGAATTCCATTCTCCCTATAACTGGAGAGACAACATGGTACAGCAGAAAGAACACAGACTCCAGCTATCAATTGCTTCCTATCTCACTCCACAGAGAGTTGGAAGCAACACCCGAATTTTGTGCTACTAACCAGCTCTGTGTCATTGAGCTAGTCACTTAATCTTTGTGGCTCAATTTTTTCATCAACATGAAGCAATAGTAATACCTCCTCTGCCCTCTTTAATTTGTTATAAGATTAAAATGAGATAGTGTGTGTGAAAGTGCATTGTAAAATACACAGCATTGTACAAAACTCCCAGCTACCAATTCCAACCTTCATCAGTGTTGACTGTCCCTTACTCATTTGGCACCTCATCAGATACTGTGACAATTAGGGTGACTTCTCATCCCCGTTTGCCAGGAACTTTCCTGATTTTAGCAGTAAAAGTCTTGCGTCCCAGAAACCCCTCTGTCTGGGACAAACAAGGGTATGTGGCTGCCCTAGAAATAATGAAGTTACTTGATAAGAAAAAGCTGACTGGTGCTAACAACTCCTTTCACCATCCACTCCACAGGAAAGAAACAAGCAGGGTGTTTCCATGAACCTGAGCTAAGCCCACACAATCCCTCTTGAAGCAAGGAGAGTTTTTCTGAGCAGGGTTCAGCTGGGTGGTCATTGACAGGAAAGGAGCAGAGAAGTCATGGTAGCTGGTATCTAGTGATATATCAATAAGGAAACTGAGCACTGGTGGGTACTCAGGATACTTCCTTAAGGCCAGATCTGACTCACTTTCCTGCACCCATTAGTAGGTCCTGATGCTCTTTTTGGTGAGAAAGTGGGCATCTACCTCTGCTCCACCAACCCCTCCTTTCCCTTTCCACTCACATTCAATGATCTGTCTAGCATTTCATGCACTTTGATAATCATGTGAAATTTTCAGTCCTGCTGAGATGATGTAAGATGGTCACATTTTTTTTTTTTTTTTTTTTTTTTTTACCAGAGCCAATAAAGCAATAATCTCTCTCTGAACTGCAGGCTCCCAACCAGCCTTGGGCTAGTCAACCCAATTCCTTAATTCCAACCCACACACTGTTTTCCACCCATCTCTGGAGAATGAAAAGAGGTGGTGAAGCCAGGCTCCCCCAGCTGCTGCGGTGCCCTCCTGCACTGGAGTAGGTACAGCCTAATCAAAGGCCTGTTGTTTTCCTTTGGCTTTGAAACTCACTGGTTGTGGGTGTATCTGTTGCATGATCATGAACACTTAAAAAAAAAAAAAAAAGACAGATCCAGTCCCATTACTTTGGCTCTGGCACAGAAGTTTCTGGAAAGAGAAACCATAAAATGATACCAAAGTGGTAACAGTAAAATAAATACCTCTCTCTGAATTTCATGGAAGTAATGAAGCTTCAGGGCACCAGAGGAGACTTTAGTAGCTCCAAAGCTATTCATGACTGTCCAATAACCCAAGAACTGGCCAAACAAGCTGGACTGCTTTCCTGTGAGTCATCAGAATCACTGCAGGCCTATGATGGGTCCCTTTCACCTGTGGGAAACAGGCTGTTAAAATGGAGAGTTGTCACTAGTTATCAGCTTCTTAGTCTTCACCAGGGCTGGGCAACAAGAGTCATAGGACCTGTCTTTATGCTTATGCTTTTTAATTTCTTTATCTCCTTGCAAATGTAATGATGTGACTTACAATACATGTTTTGATGTGCTGATAATCTCGACAATGAAATAGGTTTTAGGACTTGAGGGGATTGGGAGGAGGCATAGAAATAGTTTGGTGTCTCTGGAAGAAATTAAATTGTGGATGTTTTCAATGATTCCTAGTTGCTTCACTCAAGGAGGGTTCAATAGTGTGCTGACAAATGTTTAACAACAGGCACTCTTGGGGAAAACAAAAGCAAAACCAAAACTGATTTGTGTGTTGGCCAGTTTCCATGGTATAAATACTCCTACCATGACCAATTTAGCTGGCTCCAGTGCACCACTCAGAAGGATCCTAGTTTTTCTTTGCCAAAGATCATCTTACCTGATGGATTTTATGAAGTATATTTATTGAGAATTAAATTCATTAGAATGATTTAAGTTAGAATATTGTATCAAAAATTTAATTTACCTTTCTTAACTATCCTTTAATAATTTGTTATCTTGCTCATACTCTCAGTATCCTGTCGTACTCACTTTTCATTTGAAATCTGTTTTTGTTGTTGTTGTTGCCTTCCTTCCTTCCTTTTCTTTCTTTTCTTTTTTCCCCTTCCTTCCTTTTCTCTTTTCCCTTTCCGTCCTTCCTTCCTTCCTTCCTTCCTTCCTTCCTTCCTTCCTTTCTTTTTCTCTTTTTCTTTTCTTTCTCTCTTTCTTTCTTTCCTTTCTTCTTTCTTTCTCTCTCTCCTTCCTTCCTTTTCTCTTTTCTCCTTCCTTTCTTCCTCCCTCCCTCCCTGCTTGCTTGGTCTTTCTTTTTCTTTCTTTCTTTCTTTTCCTTCTTTCTCTCTCTCTCTTTCTTTCTTTCTTTTCTCCCTTCCTTCCTTTCTTTCTCTCTCTCTCTTCCTTCCTTCTTTCATTTTTTTTAAGAGATGGGTTTTCATCATTCTGTTACCCAGGCTGGAGTGCAGTGGTGCAATCATAGCTCACTATAATCTCAAACTCCTGGGCTCAAGCGATTCTCCCATCTCAGCCTTTCAAGCAGCTAGGACTAGAGGCATGAGCAACCATGCTCAGTTAATTTTTTTAATTTTTATTTTTATAGAGACAGAGTCTCACCTTGTTGCCCAGGCTGGTCTTGAACTACAGTGATCCTCCCACCTCAGCCTCTCAAAATGCTGGGATTACAGACATAAGCCACTGCACCTGCAGCCCGTTTATTTTTCTTATCTAGCTCTTATTTCCTTTCTCTATGCTGAGAGTGAATTTGTAGCCAGAAGTTTTTCTATTTTAATCCTTAATTTTTGCTTTTTTCTTAAATTATTTAAAAATTATCACATCACTCCCATTTCCCTTCTCCCCACAGTACTTAAAACCTCAATGACTCCCTATGGCTTTTGGGATAAAGTTTGTGGTATGGCTTTGACCCCAGCCTCTGTCTCTAGCTTAAAGGCCTTAGAGATGGGCTCTTGCTCTGTTGCCTAGGCTGGATTCCCTCACGAAACTTGTGCTCTGACCACCCCCAAATTCTTGCACCTCCATGAATACATTGTGCTACTTCATGTCTTCAAGCCTTCCCACATGTGGCTTGCTCAAGATTTTCTCCTCATTAACCCTTTAACTTTAGCTTACACTGGGCTTCTAATCTCAGTGGCTACAGCATTTTTTGTTATTCATATCTCAGCAGTGACAGTAATTATTGATTTGCTGAGCTATCTCCCTCCACTTAGGCTATGATCCATTTGACTCAGAGATGATTATCCTGCTTACATCCCTGGCACCTAAGAAAATGTCTGGTATATACTAGGTGCTCAATAAACACTTGTTAAGTAGAGATAATAAATTCATAAATGGTAATTGAGGTGATTTCATAGCTTCATTTTAATTCTAATGTGTTGAAGTCCTTTAATCATTCATTGACAACAATATCCACCAATTCATTTGCAAAGCAGATTGGTTCAATAAAATATGATGTAGTCATAGAGCAGAATTAAAATATTGATGTAGATTTCCAAAAAGTGAAAAATAAAGATATAAGACCAAAAAAGTGAGCAGCATTATCTCTTTTACATAAATAATAAAAAAGAACACACATTTATATATGTGTGTGTAAAGAAGTTTTTGAAAGTAGGAAGCTCCTTTGGCAAATTTAAGCTTAAAAAATAAAGAAAGCAGGAAGCATATGTTAAGTAGACTTTTACTTTCTGTTTTGTATATTTCTGTCTGATTTTTGTTTTACCATGTGTATTTATTATTTTTACATAAGAAAACATTTATATGAGAAAAAGTATCAGCAGAGCTTACACAGTGATAGGATTATACATCATGATTTCCTCTTTAAACATCTTTATAATTATCAAACATGAGTGATTAAAAAAACTGAAGCTAAAGGTAGCAATATTCTCTATACTGGCAGATTTTTCAGCATTGCATATGAACCCACCTCCGGTAAGTGGGTTATCTTTCTAATTTATGACTTCAGTGAAATCTGTTTCCTGGCAATGGTTGCCAGGGCACGCCTTCTCTCTTGTTCTCCATCATGCTTACTTTTAAGCCTAAGGGCAAGAAAGAAATAGACAGAAAGCAAGAAGTAGCATGAGCATCTTTTTTTTTTTTTTTTTTTTTTTTGGCATGTTGGAAAAAGGAGCTCTAAACACACTCCACTAAGCATAGCACATGCCTTGGATTCAAGCAGTGGACCTCAAAGAGCAGCGTCTCCTTTTAAGCTTTGCAGGGCAAGTTTGGGGCACTGTCAGTGAAAAATTGTCACTGCTTCTTGCCTTGGTGCTTGCCTGAACAACAAGGAGTTCCTCTAACTGCCTTAAAAGGAATCTACTCCTCTCTCCTGCCACAGGTATCACATACTATTCTCAACATATTACCGCAAACTAAAAAAAAGAAACAGGTTGTGAAGTAATGCAGAAAGTTATTTTTAATTAAAATTATCAATGTATCCGTATTAAAAATTTAAATAGAAGATACAAACAATAAAGTGCCGCTGATAGACCCTGAAGGAGGTCTGCCTCTCCCAAAGGCAGACGGCAAACAATATAGGCTACAGACACAAACACTGGGACTTCGTATTAATTGTGCTGCCACACAAAGGGGGTGTGGTTTGGGGTTGAGGGGCTCACTGGCCAGTTTTTCCATGTTTCTCAAATAAAACTCTGGTGTCATCAAGAAACATGGTGGAGGGAGACATGAAGACTTTAGAGACAGGAACCACTGCAGAAATGTAAGGATTAGGAAGTAGAATAATACCCCACCCTGGGGCTGAGACTTCGGGGAGGGGACGGCACATCACTCCTCCTTTTCCTTCCCGTGCCCAGCCATGGCTGCACCTTTCCCAGGCTGGATATGGTGGACATGTGGGAGGTGTGGACAAAGACGGTAGAAGAGAAGGAGAAGAACGTAGAAAACAAAAGGGGATTGAGCTACGCTAACACTGGAGATGCAGGGTGGCTTCAGATCCGCAAGACATGTTTTGAATTTTCTGGGACCGTTATGATCAGAAGGCAGATACTAATGAGAAAATTTTTGAGCCCATGAAGATTTTAAGGTCTAAATTCTCTCCAATTTGGGCTGCTGGTTTCTGTTTTCTGGGCACCTTGATTCTCATACTCTAGAAGTACCCGGGTAGGGGCTTGAAGAGAGAAAGCAAGAAGCTGGCTTCCTAAGTCTGGCCCTTGACTTTAAAGGAATGTGGTTAAATGGAACTTCTTGTTGTCTAGAACATCCCAGGGCCAGGTTTCTTGGTGTGTAGGCTTGGCAGACGTAATGCTGAGAGGATAAGGAATTTCTGGATTGAAACACCAGGACTCCAAAAGGCCCCTTGAAGTTATCTGAGATTCCCTGTTGAATATTATTACTCAGCTTATCACTATTCTAAATGTCAGCCAGAACTTTGTTATAAATCTGCTACCCAACTTATGTTGAAAGCCATCTCTAAAATTTCCTTTACAACTAATCTTAGGTTTATAAAGTTGGCATTTAAACAGACTGGGTGCAGTGGCTCACGCCTGTAATCCCAGCACTTTGGGAGGCTGAGGTGGGTGGATTGCCTGAGCTCAGGAGTTCGAGACCAGCCAGGGCAACATGACCAAAACCCATTTCTACACAAAAATACAAAAATTAGTTGGGTGTGGTGGCACATGCCTGTAGTCCCAGCTACTCAGGAGGCTGGGGCATGAGAGTCGCTTGGGCCAGGGAGGCAGAGGTTGCAGTGAGCTGAGATTGCACCACTGGACTCCAATCTGGGTGACAGAGTGAAACCCCATCTCACACACAAAAAAGGCATTTAATCATGGTTGTGTGACCTTGGCATACATTATATGGCTTCTCTGGGTCCCTATTTCTTCATCTGTGAAAGGAAGACAAATGTGGAAGAGGAATAATTCTTTGTGTCAGTTAGGATGCTTTTGGCAGCAAGGAACAGAAAACCAAACTCTATCTGGCTCAAATAATTAGGACAAGTGTTAGATTACATAAAAGAAAGTCCAGAGGTAAGACAAGCTTCAGAATTGGCTGACCCAGTTGCCCAGTGATTTTATCAATGACCTGGGAACTTCTTCCTCTCTATCCTCCCATCAATACCATCTCAGGCAGGTCCATCAGGATCTAGGATGGCTACCAGGAGGGCTTGAAGTACTAGCATCTTCACTCCCATCAGCTGGAAGAGAGAAACTGTATTTCTGTGTCTTACGTGTGTAAAAGCTTTTCCAGAAACTTCCAGAAAATCGTTTCTTCCATCCTACTGACCAGAATGGGTGACATGGAATTTCTGGCTAATTCTTGGAAAAAAGAGATAATGCTAGGTTTAGACCAATAACATCCACTCCTGGAACTCAGCTTCTCCTGAGGTTCATGGGGTGGAGTAGGTACCTAAATGAATTTGTGATTCTGCTGGGAAGAAACAAAGTGGCAATGGAGGAGGCTGGCTTACCATCACAATACCGATGCACTTTCTTCCAAATCAAATAATCCCATTTGTCTCTCAGTTACTGCATCTGGGTGACATTCCTATGAACTGTGTGTTGAAAATGTTTTTGTGTCTAGATGCATTTAAGGTTTTGTTGTCCTCACAAGAGTAAAAGAGCAGTATTCTTTTTTGTTGATTGTTTTTGTTTTTGTATCCACTATACAGGGCCAAATGCAAATATTATTTGAGGATATCAATCCTTAGAGACTCATTCAAAAGACTTTAAAAAGAAAAAGCCTCTGAATTTATGAAACCAAAGCAGCTATCAGGATGGTGATATTTGGCTTTTGAGACTTTTAAAAACTGTTTGCATGGAGTTGCCAAAAAATACTGATTGAGGGGTGCTGATGATGACATCATTTACACTCCTTCAGGTCTTTATTTCTTTCTCCGTCTACATGTGAGGATAATAATATTTTCCCTACTATGAGATAATGTATGTGAAAGAGTGTTGTAAAGCATACAACAATTAAAGAAGTGTAATTGTCCAAAAGAAGGGTTTATGAGAACAAAGGTGCTCCCTCTAAAGGCTTCACCATCTGTCGAATTAATGAAGAAGGGAGCCTCTGTAAAACAGACGATGTGTGGCTGGGCAGTTTATTAATGTATTAATTTGGGCTTGTTCTCTTTGTATTCCCCTTCCTCAACTTTAAGTAGGCTTTTTGGGTTTCTGTGCCTCAGGTATTTTTGCTGGGAAGAAAGCAGATGCCATCTCAATTTAGTGTTCTTCCTGTTGTTTGTGTAAAAATGAGCCCACTGAAAGACAATGGGAGACGTCTTGGTGAGGGGCTGAGAGAAAGTGCATGTCTTTTGCAGATCAGGAGATGGGGAGGCAGAGGAAAGAAAGGAGAGATCTGTGGATCCCGTGAGCACCCCAAATTGGAACCACTCCTTACCGTGCCTCAAGGAAGCAACAGACCTCCAAACTGCATGGTGTACCTCAAAAGAGCAAGACCCAAGCAAAAAGGTAGAGTCAGCAAAACGCTGGCAGGCTTGGGGAAGGGCTGGAGTGAACAACTGTCCCATGTTATCTGGGGTAATTCATGGAATACAGGACTTTCATTGTTAAAACTAGGAAAGTTCTAGGCAAATCAGGATGATTTTGTTACTGTAGGGAGAACTAAGGGGCAACTATGATGGAGTGGAGATTAGAAGAACTTGTCCTGATCTGTGGGCACCTGGTATGTCTTCTTCAACTGGGGGTTACATAGACGGGACAGAGTGTTCCAGCCATGACTTTGGGGGACTCAGATTCAACTTTAAGTTGTTTGAAAAGAAACATCCAAAGGAATGTTTTTGCATAGCATAGCTTGGGCCCTGAGATTCATGCCTAACACACAGGTTAAAGAAGTCCACAATTCCTCAACAAAACTTTGGGACCAGACACATTTCGGGATTCAGAACTTTTTGGGTTTTAAAGATATAAGAGTAAGTGTTCTTTATATTATTACATGGCAACTCCAATGCAGTACTCTGTAATAAAGCACCCTGATATTTCTACAGAAACATTTATTAAAGTTTACATTGAATAAATTAAAGACTGTAAATATTCTTATGTCAGTAAGGCTAGGTTGTGTTAGGTTGCGCTGCCAGAAACTTAGTTTAAGTTTTGCCACCAAGTCAGTTGTTACAGTTTTCAGAAATTTTGAGACCTTGGAATTGTGGATAATGGATTGTTGCTGTATTTTTAAATATTTATAAGTATTAGGACAACTCCTCAATTTATTATCATACTAGGTCAAGGGTAAAACCTGTTCCATGTTTTCCAATATTGGCTGAAGATTCTAGAGAATCAATGAACATGTAATGCCACTTAACCCACTCATAGAATTTATTAGCCCCTAATATTGGAATCGATAATGCATTTAAATTCCAATATAAGGTGATATATGCAACATTCAAATGTTCTACTTGCACATTATAGATTTTTTCCAGACAACCAAAGTGCAATTATCACAATTTAAAATAGTTTTCTGTAAAGGTCACTTGAAATGCTAAATTTGGTTGACCTGATAATGAAGAGGTAAAATATTTTTTCTTGAGCAATATTGCCAAACTACAGGTTTTTCTCCAGGGTGATAACGAAAGGGCTTTTGACCAGAAAGCTTTAATGTCTATGTGGAAGCAAAGTCAAGGACGCTGGTTTGCAAACTGCCATACAGGGCTCTGAGAGACATGAAAATAATAGTAATTAATATGATGTTGATGATGCTTTTGTTTGTAGGCCTAGAAGGTGTGGTTATTCTAAGCACACTTAATTATGTGCAAGCACAGGCATTCTTTGTCCTGACTCAAAATCATCAACATAACAGGTCTCCAGGGCCTGAAAAGCTATACCCAATGAGTTTACAATTTCTAAAACTTTGGTGGTTTCATTATTATTCTTCCCTAAAGAGATAGCTCAAATCTAACCTATTCAGAACTTTGAAGATAAGATTCGACTTCTTGAATCAAATTCAGTTGTATTTCCATAAAAAGCCAAAGAAGCAAAGACTTCTTTGTCACAATTCTTAGACTTTCCACAGGGAAAGCCATGGGGAGAAGACAAGGTATCTTAGATAGTTTCTCTCTAACGAAACTGTGCATCACCTGGACCTAGATTGGACTCTGTGTCCACATTTGTACCTATGTTATTTTGCTGCATTTATGTCTCTCATCACATGTGGTGGTTTGTAAAATGTGATGCTTTGGATGGGTTTTTTCTTCTTCATTTCATGTGGTTTTCAAAAGGCCTGGAAATCCGTCTTCTTGTCAGAACCACTTATACTGTCTTTTGAGATCTTTTTGGTGTCAGGATTCAGAGCAGCCATTCACTCCCATTCCTTCAGTCTTGATATTCACAACAAACTCATTACATGGCTGAAATCTAAAACATTTATGTATAGAGGACACTATGCCTCTAATTATTGCAAATGAGGCTCCTTATCTATTTCATGATATCTCCTCAGAGAGGAAGTCTGTGAGGAGCTGTGATTTTTTTTTTTTTTTTTGCCAGCTCCTTTAAAACCTTCATGAAAGCTCTCTTCACGCTGCCTACCCAATGGCAAATGCATTTAATGTTCCCTGTTGCCTCTGCCCTGCTGCATTTGCCACATGAAGGCTGCTCAGCCTCGTCTCTTGGATCACAGCATGCTCCTGTGACCTGGGGGCCACGGCTAAGGCTCTAGGCGCCCGCAATTGGAGGCCTGTCAGCCACGAAATGATAAACAGCAAAGGATGCTTTTATTAACACCTCTCCACACTGACCAATGTGGTTTTCTTTCTTGCTCCTAAGCTCAATGGACTAAGACTCAGCGAAGTTTTAATTCAATAGTATTCTCCTTGCCAAATTTCCCTCAGGATTCTAGTTAACACTAACCCTGAACGAGAAACACCGTAAGGGAAGCACATCTCTCATTGTTAGGCTCACCATTAAATGTAATGACTGATTTCTTTAATCCGTGGGTATGTAAGTCTGTGTTTCTTTCATTGTCAATCTATAATTAATCACCTTATATAAAATAAGAAGTGAGAGAGAAATAAAAAGTCATAGAAATGAACTCATAATTAAGAGTACATTATACAGACTTTATTATTTCATGGTATAAGCCCCAAAGCATCCACACTACAGTGAAATTTTTCTGTTTTTAAAAGTCTGCTTGCTGTTCATAAGAATCTTCCTATAAACAAAAGATACTTAGATTTATTTAGGTAGATTTTTGTGCGGGGGGGCAGGGGGTCAAAGAATTACCCTATGTCCTATAAGAGTCCATCCCAAAAGTTCCCTATAAATAATGACTGTTTATTCCTTGAATTTGATCAGTCCACTCAGCATGTAGAATACAGTGAGAAAAAATAGTGTGTATGGACCATAGTAGGCTTGGAGACAGTGAAGACTTAGAATGATGACTGGTAACATCTCTACCATTGTTAGCATCCCGTGCAATTGCTCTCTACCCAATTGATTTCTATGCATGAATCTCAAAAGAAGATGCAGCTCCCTTTATAAGATAGCGTCTAATGTCTTCCTTTCTTTCCCAGTGGGAGCCAACAATTTCCTCTACAACTTTGGAAACAATAAGATTAGGCAGCCTAGAGTCTAAATTAATAGGAAAATAACACTAAAGTCTTTTCAATAGCCACCAAGTTTCAAAGAACAAGAACAAAATTCACCTGTAAAAAATGGCCAGCACCATGGACCACACCTAATATGGAATTATTAGACTTCATTTCAAAAGTCCTCTTTGTATCTCCCACTTGTGATAAATTAACAAATGGTATTGCTTGAATTAGCTATGCTTTGAGTTTTTCCTGCAAGCACAGAACATTTGGTGTTCTTTTTCTTTCTCCCATGTAGAAAATTTGGAAGCCTCCACCTGTTACCTTGAAAATAAAATCGGGTCATCCTTTTTTTTTTTTATAAAAATGTAAAAGGAACCAGGGTTGTTATTTTAAGGCAAAATATTTATGTTGCAATAGTTACATCAATATCAAATATATTTAACATGAAACTCCTAGAGAAATAAAGCACCTGCAAGGAACTCCCCCCAAACATGCTTCAGAAGAGCAATCTTGATTCAGAAAGATAATCTTTAGTAATCATATGAACTGCCACTAAGGGACTCCTCAGGCAGAGCCTTCCCTAATGAGCATAGCCAGGGAGCTCTGAGTGCTGCCGTCTCCTTACCCCCAAGCCACTGGGAAATGCATCAGCCCCTTGCTCCCACTGCATAAAGCAGGAAATAATACATTTCAAGAAGCTACGTCTTCATATTCAGATTCACATTACAGGGAGGTTAAAAGAAGAAACCTTGTTTGTGTTAGTTGCAGATGTATCCCAAGCACCTGAACAATGCCTGCAACATATACGATGTTCAATGAGTGAATGATGGCACAGAGACTAGGTAGGCTGCTGCCTGCCAAATGGAGGACTTTCAGGGTCATAGTAGAGCAGCACAGTCAAGGGGGATTTTCCTGAACCCTGATCTACCATTTCTAACTTCCTGAATTGTTTTTGACCTTTCCTTCTCTCCACTGAAGAAAAAATGTTAATTTTCTTGGGTGTAGGTCTATTGCTTATTCATAGGACATGTGTATAATTACCATACTATACTGTAATTGATTACTTATTTCCTCCAGAGCCAACCCATCCATTAGGCGTAGTAGTAAACACACACACAACACGCACACACACACAACAATCTTGAGGCTGCAGAAAATGTTTTAATATAAAGTATTAAAATAATCAACTTTATACTAACACAGTTGTAAAATAACAGTTTTAATATTTTTTAATGGAGTAAGGGGCCCATGAAGGCAAAAGTGCCTGGGACCCATGAGAATCATACTGCAGACCTGATCTTCATTAGGCAGTGAACAAACAATATTGGAGACGAATCTGGTTTGAATGCAGAAAGAGGAAGCAAAGAGAAAAGAGCTGATAAAAAGAAGTCATTTTTTTAGGTGTGGGCTAGCAGTGGGAGAGAAGAATGCCTTGGAGAAGGCTGGAGAAGTAGGAGGCTGAAACCAGGGAGGTGTGTAGGGGTATCTGGGGAACTTCTGGAAGAGGTGGGGTGTTGAGTCCATATTTGGCAAGGGAAGATGTATTTTCTGGCAGGCTGATGAATAATGGAATTTGAGAGCTAGAAGTGCTCTAAAGAGCTGTTGTATTCCAACTCCTTATTTTATGGGTGAGAAGGCTGAGTCTTATTAAATTATTGGGAAGATAGAATCTGATTCTAATGCCTTTTCCACTGCTCTGCCAACTCTTCCATTTGCCTGAATTGTATTTACAAGATGGGGTGAAACGAACAGCAAACTTCATTCACGTGTTTATTACATGTGTGTAATACACATATGTGTGAGCAATTCCACACATACCATAATGTTAGAGAGTCATTTTCAGGAATCTTAATAGATCTAGTAGATTACTTTCCAGTCACAGAATGGGACATTTTTATTTCTTATCCCTCTCAACTCTACTGCAACTCTGACTTGGAATCATTAGCATGTGCCTGGCCACCTCCCAAGTAAGAAGCCTGGACCTAGTAGCATAACTAAATTGGTCAGATAACTAAAAGGACAGGTAGCCAAGTCTGGCTAAAGTGAAACCAGAACCCACCAGAATTAGTGGGGCTGATTCTACTCTGATTCCAGAAAAGTCCTAGTTCTAGAGGGACTGTATGAGACTTTCTCTCATTCCCAGATGAGAGCCAGCAAACTGCATCTAAACTTCTGACCCATTCTTGAGTCGTTTGTTGAATGACTCAAATCATTCAACAAACATACCAAAGAGCTATCTCCACAAAATGCAGGTAATGATAAGTGGATGCAAGGGTGAATTATGATTGGACCCTGTCCTCAAGGAGTTTATAGTCTAATTGAAGGTCTAATGAAGGGGAGAGTGAAGAGCCCACAGGATGGTGGAAGCCACATAATCAGTGTTCATGATTACATGGCTCCATTCTGCCTCTAGGACATCCTTTTATGAGTAAATGCTTGGGAGGTTGTAGAATGAAATAAATTCTCCACATATGAGCCAGAGCTCAGGAAATTAAAGAGGAATGGAATCAAGGAAGGGAAAGGTCAGGAGGAGTAGTGGGAGAGGATATTGCAATCTGGGTTTTCAAAAGACATTTCAATTCAGATGAACTCATGGAAGGAATTAAATTTTAATCTTTAAAGCTTCATTGTGCAATTTCCTAAATGAAGGAGCAGTCTGATTGGTATATTTAGCATCCTCACAGAATAAACCTGCATGGGGGTTACACAACCTATCATAGGAACGAGGAGCTTCCATTTTCCATGTCTCTATGAGGTAGGGATTTGACCCTTATTGTCTCTAGTTTGAAAATATTAAGTCACTGTTTAATAAACTAGCTCCTACTCCAGATTCTTGAAAGGCAGCCCTGTTTCTGTTAGTTATTAAGGATGCAAAGCTCTACAAATCCTTTCCTCATCAAATTCACTCTTGTAATATAAACAGATTAATTTTCAAAATAATCAATTTCAGTATGTTGTTTCCACAGCTTCATGACCAATAGAAAAAGACTAACCTCTTTCCCTGATATTAGACAGTCAACCCACCCTCACAATCATGTTCCACTGCTCCACACACAGGTATACTATGCAATCTACACAGAACCTCACAGCCTGCCATGCACACACTCATGTCTACACCCGCTCATACTACTCAGGAACACCCACCGTTTCTCTACGCCTACTTATTCATTTATTATTTGGACAAATATTTATGGTGTACCTACTCAGTTTCAAAAACTTTAATAGGTTCTGGGGATTCAAAGGTGAACAAGATAAACATAGTCCCTCCTTCAGGAGCTTTAAGCTCTAGTTTTGATAAGTGCTACACAGAAGTACATTTATGATGACACGTAAAGGTGGCATGTTACCTAATCCAGTGGGTCATGGAAGCCTTCTCTGAGGGAATTACTTTTAATCTGAGATATAAAAAATTAAGAGGATTGATCCAAGCATTAGAGCATTCTATGAAGAAAGAACCACAGGTGTAGAGCCCTAAGGCACGTCCAGATCCTACCCACCCTGCAAGACTCAGCTCAGTTTTCAACTTCTCATCAAGTTTTTCCCAACCTCTGGAGTCTATGTTGAAGAACTGCTTACTCTTCTGAACTCACTGACACTCTGACTCTGTACCATTTTCTTAAGCTCTTAGTCACCATTGTTCTTATCACCATCCCACCTTTTATCTTTATCTTGCCTAGACTGTATCAGGACAGAACCATGCTCTGTGTCTTGCAATCTTCATGAACATCTAACTCCTAGTAAAAGTGTCTTACAATCTTCATGAACATCTAGCTCCTAGTAAAAGCTCAATAAATATAAATTAAATGCATGTATGCATGACTGAATGTATGAATGAATAAATGGTCTTGGTCAATTCAAGTTCCATGCATGGCCATTCAGTAAGTCTCAACAGAGGCATCACAGCAGTACAGAAGATATTGTATTCTTGATATTTTTAAAAGATTATTGGCCGTGCATCTCATTAAATAAACCATAACCCCCAAATCACCCCCCTGCCCCACCCCCCCAAAAAAACATGAGGATGGATGAGTGGTCAGAAAAAGCTGTCTCTATTCATGGTGCTGTGAGAAGATCCTTTTCTACCTAATAGTTGTTAGGTTATATAAATTGGTCTCAAGAAAATCTCTAACTAGAATGTGCTGGATTCTGTTGGATATGATATGTTCTTAGTGAAAGAGAAACCACCTTAACTATCTCCAGGCAGAAGAATCCTTCAATAGAAGCCTGCTGAAGGATGTGTGGATAGGCCTGTGGACTCTCATGATAGCTAACCTCTTCCACCAACCAAAATAGAGAATTGACACCACCCGCCAGTTTGCAGTAAATTCTCATCCTGCTCCTGGGCCTGCAAACATTTTCACTGCTATGGCTTCCTACCTCCTCCACCTTTGTTCCTCAACCTCCTTGGAACCAACCTGCCAACTTCAGGCCAGGTGGTATCATCTTTCCCTCAAGAAAATTTTAAAATGGAACACACTCAATTTCTGTTTCCTACATCAAAAACCACCTCAATGAGTTTTTAGTTGATACTTATATTTGAAAGCTGGATGTGGTTGGGAGAAAATGTAAACCACAGAGAGGCAGCTGACTCAGAGAGGGCACAGGAGAAACTAAATTATTAACACCTTAGTTCCTGTTCTCTGAATTTTCCCATCCTCTGGATTTTAGATGAAGTGCCAGAATGGGAAGCATTTTAGTGATAGGTTCTTTGCTGTGAGTGCCAAACCAGAAGATATCCAAGCAGGCCTGGAATGAAGAGAGGCCCAAGGATAAACAGGAGCTCAGTTCAGTTCAATGTGTATTTATGAGCTCCTGCTAAGTTGCATACTCTGCACTGGGCACTAGAAATACAAAAATAAATAAAATATTGTCCCTGATTTAAAGGAGCTTGTGATCCAGTAGGGGATTCAGACGTGTCAACATGTGATTATTGTGCAATGTGGTAAGTGCAGTGAGAAACAGGAAATATGAAAGAGGAAAACATCACCCATCTCAGGAAGGATAGAAAAGTAGGTTGGTCTAGAGGGTTGAAAATGATTCTGAAATGATCGTACTAACATCATAACGATAGGTCACACTGCCACATAGCAACATAAAAAGTCTACATAAAAAGAGATCATGTGTTTTGGGGAAATAATTACTTAATTTCTCACCCAGTGGATCAAATGAGGAATTCCATGGCCCAAATGAAGCCAGAGTAATATGAAATGTAATTATTTTAATCGCTCAAAATTGGCAATGCACACAGCTCTCTGCTTAGACCCTGAAATTTGACTAAAGCCTTTATGAATTGCTTATGGAAAGGTTTACCAACCTCAGCACTAATGACATTTTTGGACTAGATAAGTTTTGTTGTGTGAATGTCCTGTGTATTGTAGGATGTTTAGTCTTTACCCATTAATGCCAGTGGCATCCACCATCTCCCAATTGGGACCAACTAAAATGTCTCAAATTGCTAAATGTCTCTTGGGGGGTGAAATCAATGCTAGTTGAGAACCACAAGTGAGGAAGTTTGTAGAAATGAACCCAATCATGTCTATTTAGTTCAAGATAATCAGTTCCTATCTAAGGCTGTGTTTAATAACCCAAACCCAGGAACTTGCCATCATCATTGTAGTTAAGCCTTTTCTTAGACAATTTCTACTTGAGACAGTGATAGCTGTGGCAGAAATTTCTAATTTCCTCCATTATACATTCTACTTCTCTCAGTCAACCTGGAAAAAGAACTCTCGATTTTTAGCTGGCCATCCGGAATAGACATTTCCTGGTCTTGCTGATGAGCTATAAGCAGAATTGGTGTGCACAGTTTCTAGGAATTTCCTTAAAGGGAAGGAATGTGTTCTTCTTCTTCAATTTCTTCCTTTTTCCACTTGATGTAGATGTAATTGCTGGAGCTCCAGCAGCCATACTTGATTATGAGGTGACATTGGGAACTGAAGCCACGAATTTCAGTTCAACAGATAGAAAAGGCTGACACTGGGCAGGGCCTTACCAACCCTGAAATCCTGAATTGCTACCTCCAGACTATCACGTAAGATATTATTTTTTGTACTGTTATTGTCTCTGTTACTTTTAGCTGCACCCTGCACCTGACATTAATCAATACAATTGCCTAAAGTGGACATTTATTATATTTCCAAAAGTCTCTGGACCACAATCTTCAACACATTAGGAAGCTTGGTCAGCTGTTCTACTAGAACCTTTACAGAAAACCCCATCCTCTTCTCTTCTCTTTTCTTCTCTTACAGTACACAGCACAGGATATTGGTTATTTCAACAATAACCCTCCTACCACCTCTCACTCTGCTACTCTGGCCAGTCAGTTACACTAGATAGACTGTTACCACCGCTTACTAAAAGTTGACATCTCCTTGAACCCATCAGACACAAAAATGAAATGAGAATACCTATTACTTGCAGAGTTGCAAGAAAAAGTATACTCTCCACTATTTCTGGTAGAAATGTGACATGTTGCTGTCTTTTTAAGAGCAATTTAATAATAGCAACAGAATTGAAAAATATACCATTCCTCCCAACTATCAACTTCCAAGAAGTAAAATCAATACTAATGAAAGATATATGTGTAGGGTTATTTATTGCATTTTTCCACAGACAGGGAATAATATTTCTTATAAGACAAATAGAGAAGTATATTTGAGATCTATCAACATATAGTTGGTATTTAAAACTATGGGGTTGGATGAAATCATCTAGGAAATGAGTTGTGAAAGAAGAGAGAAGAGATTTGAGGACTGAGCCTGGAGTATTCCAACATTTAAGAGTTAGGAAGATAAAAAAGATTCAGCCCAAGAAAATGAGAAGTAGTAACCAGTGAGATAGGTGGAAAACAAGGAGGGAGGTTTCCTTGCAGCCAAAAGAAGAGAGAGTTTCAAGAAGGATAAAGTGATCAACTATGCCAACTGCTACCAAGAGGTTGAGTAAGATGACGATGAAGAAGGAATCATTTGACATGGCAACATGGAAATCGATGAAGACACTGGCAAAAGCAGTATCAGTGGATTGGTGGGGACAACAGCTCAACAGGAGTGGGTTCAAGAAAGAATGGAAAGTGAGGAAGTGAAGAAGGTGGGTATAGATAACTCTGCATTTTTGCTAAAAGGGAAAGGATCAGTGGGTTACCAGGAAGTATTTTGTTTAGATGCAAAGCAATGTAGCATGTTTTTAGAGCAATGATATAGCAGAAGGGTAAATAGGTGATTCAAGAGAAGCAATAATTGCAGAGTCAAGTCAATAAGTAGATAACCTCATAAAGGGGTGAGCCTCAGACCGGAGCCAGGACAGCACACCTGCTATGACACAAGGGAAGGCACAATATATGGGCACCAATGGAGTTATGATGGCACATTTGATGGTGGAGGGGGAAAAGATTCCTCTGATCACTTTGGCCAATATCCGGCTGATCCACAGATATGCAAGCAAGCCCAGCTGAAACCAGAAGAACTGCATAGCCTAAATCATCAACCTACAGATGATTAAGCTAAATACATGTTTATGGTGTTAAGCCACTAAATTTTTGATGATGTGTTACATGCCATCATGATAGAAATAGATAACTGAGGCAAGGAATGTTCCATGTCTATGGGTACATATGGAGCTGCCTCATTTTTTAATAAATGACTACATATAGCATCGAGCTGTATGTGCCATATTTTATTTATTTTACCATTTCCTTATTACTGTTTATTTTAGTTGCTACTATAAACAATGCTGCAAGAAATATCTTCCTACATATGTCTTTGCACGTGTACATGGAACTGAACAATGAATTCCTAGAAGTGAAATGTTGGGGTCAAAATTTATATGCAATGGTAATTCTAATAGATATTGGCAAATGGACATCTACAAAGAATGTAAAAATGTATGTTTGCCAATAATTTATGAATGCATTTCCACACATCTTCATGTTATCAATTTTTTTGCCAATATGGTAGGTGTAAAAAATGTAATTACTATAGATAGCACTTTCATTCCTCTTATTATGTGGTCCTAGAATAAACCCCACCATCCCTACTGTTTCCGTTGACTCTGAAGAGCACCTATTTCACTCTTATCAGCCCTGTTCAAGAGGCTTAGGGACCTCCTCCTTGCTTCACACCATTTCCCCAGTGGTTTTATATTGTCAATATTCTTCTTTTGTCAGTAGGTTTTCCACTAAGTTTCAGTAAGTTATGACTCATTTAATGTAAGGAAAATAGGAAAAACATTCCACGTCTTTGCAGAGGAATGAGTTGTGTTTAAGATTGTTTATTATAAATGGAAATGTTGAAGGAAGGTTGGAAGAAGCTAAAAAGGAAGAAGAAATTAAAAAGAGAGAGAGATAAAGATGGGACTAATAGAGTTTTCTGAAGTCCCTTTGTATTAGTCAGGGTTCTCTAGAGGGACAGAACTAATGGAATATATATATACATATATGGGTTTATTATGGGTATATATGACTTGACTCTGCAATTATTCCTTCTCTTGAATCACCTATTTACCCTTCTGCTATATCATTGCTTTGACATGCTCCATTGCTTTGCAACTAAACAAAATACTTTCTGGTAACCCACTGATCCATTTCCCCTTTAGCAAAAATGCAGAGTTATCTATACCCACCTTCTTCATAAACCCATATATATATATATATATATATATATATATATATATATATATATATATATAAGAATTAACTCACATACTCACAAGGTCCCACAATAGGCCATCTGCAGGCTGAGGAGCAAGGAGGGCCAGTCCTAGTCCCCAAACTGAACTTGGAGTCCGATGTTCAAGGGTAGGAAGCATCCAGGACAGGAGAAAGATGTAGGCTGGGAGGCTAGGCCAGTCTCTGTTTTCATATTTTTCTGCCTGCTTATATTCTAGCCATGCTGCAGCTAATTAGATTGTGCCCACCCAGATTAAGGGTGGGTCTGCCTTTCCCAGCGCACTGACTCAAATGTTAATCTCCTTTGGCAGCACCCTCACAGACACACCCAGGATCAATATTTTGTATCCTTCAATCAAGTTGACACTCAGTATTAACCATTACACCCTTTGACTTCAACCATATTTCCTAACTTTGATCTCACGAGAGATTTGTATGTTAACTAGAATCTACTTTAAAATACTTCAGCATGGACAGTGTGATAAACTTGTGAACACTAGTTTTCACTTTAAGGCTGGTCAGCTGCCCCCAGGGGGTCTGCATTCTCAACAGGTGTAAAGAGCAGTCATCCAAATGGAAAGTCATAACAGTAAAATAAACAGGTAAATAAATAAAATAGAACTTTAAGATAATGAGGGAAGTACTAAACAAATATAAAAGGAGCTGTGGGTATGCACATGATAAAAGGATACAATTTTTAGAGGTAGAGTTTGGGGCCTTGCATAGCTTCCCTATCCCCATAACACTATTAATGTATCCAACATATACTAAGGATATTTATGTAATTACTCAATGTGCTATACACTTCTTAATCATAAAACAAGGTCAGGAAACTTCATTTATGAATAAGTATAAGTAATTTGACCTTAACACAAGGTGAAAATTGTCAGGTTGGACACATTTTTAATTTTGCCATGGATTCTCAGCTTTATTACTTTGCACTCAAAGGGCAATTAGCTTAGATAGTGGTTTCTGATAGTCAAGCATTTTTCTTTTGAGCATCTAACCAAATTGCATTTGCAATAATAACCCTCCCTAAAGTCAATAGGTCTTTGGAAAAAAAAGAGTGTGGATGACTGCAGAGAATTGAGATGGAGTCCCATGAAGGACAAAGTAGAGAGCCTAATGCAGCCTTTTATCTTCTCCATTAAATGGGCAGGCAAATCAGAGGCTCAAGTGAGCCAACCTTCTTGTAACTGATATGATTTCCTGGATGGCTCAAGAAAACGTAATGTCTCTATGCTGAGTTGAAACCCTTAAATAAAGCACTAAATTGAAAAGATATATTTCAATGCAGCTGTTCATTGTCTTTTCAATTCTATCACTTTCCCACTTAATGTATTTATTTCTTTCACACATAATAAGCCTTAGTATGAGGAAAGGAGACTGGCAGGAGAGACAACTGAGCCATTCAGGGTTTCTAGTGGTCTCATCAGATAATCACAGAACGTCGGTGCCATTGAGGGAACAGTCTATTGGGGAAACAGCAATAATGACATGGCCGCAGGCTCAGTGGCTGGGCCTGTGTTGAGAGTCTGCTGAGATCTTTGTGACCAATTCTCTCAAACAATTGTTTTCTTCTTCCCCAGATCAACCAATTACTTGGTTGAATCAAGAAACAAGTGGTTGTTTTGACTTTACTCTCTCTCCCAATGCTAAATTGAAGTTTGCATTTTACCATAGCTGCGACTAATTCACGATTAAATTGAGACTTAGTTTGAGATACAAAGCAGCTGCAAATTATGTTCAAAAGTCAGTAAATCATTGTCAACTCATTTTGTGGCCTTGGAAATACACCCGAGATGTGTAAAAATAGCACCAGCTACATACTTTTCTTTGAAAAATCCAAGCAGCCAGTGATCTGTGGATTTTTTTCCTTTTCTTATTTATTGTCTTTTACCATATTTTTATTGTGATGATATTTTATCCTAAAAGTAGTTGGTTCTGATCCATTTGTTTTCATTCACAGTGGCCAGATATGTTTCCAAGAGTGCTTACATCCCCATAGCATTTGGAGGGCTCCATAACTGGGTGGCTCATCACCTTACCTTTTCTATTCTTGCCGCTACATCTTTCAAAGGACTAAAGCATTTAATGACTCTGGCCCATGGTAAAATAGGGCCAAATATTCACCTGGGGAACCTAAGCTTGTCTCACCTTCTCATAATGTTTCATGTCCCCCCCAAACTGTTCATTGCCTATCACAAAAGTGTAACAAGTGTGTAACGTTACCCGAATATCTAGGAGAAAGTTGGCAAAGAGATGTTATTTATTATGCCAATTCAGACTGGTTATTGATGACAGTGGCTTGGCTAGCTATGTCCAGGCTTAGTGGAAAGAGACAGTGGTTAACAACCAATGTCTGACAGGTGCACTCCTCAGGCACTTGCCCTCCCTCCCAGTTCCAAAGTATACTCAGGCTCTGTGCACTGATTGAACAAGTGCTCCAGGAGGTGCCCTAAACAGAACATCTTTTTAACAGGTTCATTGGCACTCAGTACTCACACAAGCCTTTTCTTTTCTGTACCCTCAGGGGTCAGAGAAAACTTTCTTCACATGATAACTATACTCTTTGCATGGGCAGGCCTATAAAAGAGCTCCTGACCAAAGCCCTGCAACAAGAGGCCTCTAAATGGAGTGGCCAAGTCAGAGTGGCAGAGATCCAGTACAGATTTTGAGTCCAGCATCTACCTTCTGTTCCCATTAATGGTTCTTGTGCTGCCCTGAATGCTGGGAAACCATGGGGCTAGGGAGTTTCCCTTACAAAGAAAAGCTGAAACATGACCCTAGCCTCTTAGAGGTGGCCATCCACTGGCTCTGTTGCTGGTACTTGCCTCAAGCAATCTATTGATCCTGGAAAATCCAACTACCTACCACCTTGAGCCTGTCTCCAGTGAGCTTTACAGATATCATTCATCCTTTTAGATGATATGCTCCTTCCAAATAAGGAGCTCTGTGAGTTTAGACTGTATGTTTATTCAGGCATTTCTTTATAATGGTAGTGTTTTGCTTATGCTAGATAGGGCTTGAGACTTGAGTGGTCTCATTTCTGTGAGTTCTCTCTCTTTTATTTTGTTCCCTTAGAAAATGTTTACTCCAGGTGCAGTGACTTGCACCTGTAAACCCAGCAACTCTGGAGGCTGAGGTGGGAGGAACACTTGAGGCCGGGAGTTTGAGACAAGTCCGGGCAACATAGCGAGAACTCATCTTTAAAACAATTTTTTTAAAATTAATAAATTTTAAAGAACTTAGCCAGGCATGGTTGTGTGTGTTTGTAGTCCTAGCAACTTGGGAGACTGAGGTGGGGCGGGGATCACTTGAGCCCAGGAGCTGGAAGTTGCAGTGAGCTATGATCACTCCACTGTACTTCAGCCTGGGCAACACAGCAAGACCCCGTCTTGAAAAACAAAAACAAAAAAAGTTTTGACATTTTGGTTTTTAGTTTTAGTGTACGGTTTTCAGATTCCATCACCCTCTTTCTTTCCTCAAGATCCACCCTCTTATTCTCACTTTTACTCTCATTCTCTCTCCCTCTCCTTCTTTCTCTTTCTCCCTGTGCCACCTCTGTTATATAAAATAGTGTCTTTTACTGTGATGCTCCCTGTTTGTAGCATTACCGCAAACTTCCACATATCCATGCACACACACTCTCGCAGCAGGCTGCACATTCTCTTTTGCTGTGGGTCTGAAGAGTTGGGTGGCTTTTCCTACTCACCAGTGGAGCAAGGTGTGGTGGCAAGAGTGCACCCAGGAAACCAGGTTTCTCCCACATAGTAGTTGTATGATTAGGGGCAGGTCAACCTCTCTCTGTTTCTTCTTCTTTTAGAAAAAGGGTAGCTCTCCCTGCCCTATCTCCTTTGCAGAGTATTTACAGGGATAAAATAAAGAAATGATCATGAAATCTCTTTGTAAAGTATAAATTGCTATGTAAATGTTATTTTATTATTGCTGTATTTTTGCAAATCAGGTCACTCCACTGTAAGGTGGTGATTATACTGCAGGAGGATCCGATTGTCCCCTGCAGGCACTCAACTGAAGAATGACAGCTTTTAGGCAATGCCTATCCCATGTAATTAATTCTCACTTATCTGAGATCCTCTTCATCATTCCATAGAATGCTGCCTGATTTCCTGACATTAACAATGAACACAGCCAGACTCAAGAGGAGGAAGCTACTGGGACCACGGCAGTCAAGGAAACACCATCAACACCCAGTCTTCCTCCCACATTACTCAGAGACTTTTATCTTTGCCATCCTTAAACACATTCCTGCAGGTCTCCAGATCCCTTCCAGCCCATCTTAGATAAAACTGTGCAGGAAAAATGTGCTTCTAATATAGAGGTTTCCATCTGGACACCTTGTATTTGAATCACAACTCAAACTTTTTTAATGCCACCCTCTGTTTCCCTACTGGATCTTAAAGACAATTGGCACTGAAGCATAATAAAATAATCAATTATGTCTCATCTATGCTATGCTATTTGAGAGCATTTCCCTCAAAATCTCTTCTATACTTTGATTTAAAAGTAAGATTTATACCAAAAAGCCAATGAATGAATATTAATGTGATATTTTAGATGATATCTAATGAAAAATCTCAAATATCATACAATGTAATTAATTTATATTCTTAATATACCAGTTTCTCACCAACTATGAGAATTTGATTCCTAAAAATCCCCTTGGTAGAAGAATTCAGATTCGTGAAATAAAAGATCTTACAGAAAAAGAATATTAGTAGTTAATGTTCATGGTAAACCTTAAAAGGTCCTTAAAAATATGTTTCTATTATATGATCCAGCAACCTCACTTCTGAGTATGTATCCAAAAGAATTGAAATCAGGATCTTGAAGGGATATTGGCACTACTGTGTTCACTGCAACACTACTCACAATTGCTAAGATGTGAAAACAAATGTCCATCAACAGATAAATGGATAAAGAAAATGTGGTATATACATACAGTGGAAAACTGCTGGGCCTTAAAAAAGAAGGAAATTCTGTAATAGGCAACACCATGGATTGACCTTGAGGACATTATGTTAGGTGAAATAAAACCAAACACAGAAAGGCAAGTACTGCATGATCCCACTTAGATGATGTATCTAAAATAGTCAAACTTAGAAAACAAAGACTGGAATGGTGGTTACCAGGAGCTGGAAGTAGGAGGAGGTGGGAGTTATTAATCAACAGGTGTAGAGTTTCAGTTAAGTAAGTTAAATAAGCTTCTGAGGTTTGTTGTACATTGTATGTATAGTCAAAAATAATGCACTGTACACTTAAAATTTGTTAAGAGGATAGATCTCATATTAAGTGTTATGCAATTAAATAATAATTTAAAAATATACATTGCTATCAATTTGAAGAAAACAATAAAGGCAGCATATTCCTTAAAGACAGAATCAATGAGATTAAGTTTTCGCCATTTGAAAGTCATCTTCTGGTTGTCTTTTACCTCGAATCAAGCTTCATGAGACAAAAAAGGCTGTGATGAACTGAATTGTCCCCAACCTCCCATTCATGTGTTGAAGACCTAACCCCCAATGAGATGGTATTTGAAGATGTGGCCTTTTGCAGAAAATTTGGTTTAGATGAAGTCATGAAGATGAGGTCCTCCTGGTGGGATTGGTGCCTTTATAAGAAGATACACCAGAGAGCTTGTTTGTTTGCTCTCTCTTTCTATGCATGCTCATGCAAAGAAGAAATCATGTGAGCACACAGGGAGATGGCGGCCATCTGTAAGCCAGGAAGAGAACCCTTACCAGAACTATACCTAGTTGGCACCCTGATCATGGACTTCTAGCTTCCAGAAGTGTGAGAAAATAAATCTGTTTTTTAAACCACCAAGTCTATGGTATTTTGTTACGGCAGCTCAAGCAGACTAAGATAAAGGCAAATACAAAAATGGGGTCCTAAAGTCCCAAGGGAAAACAGGAAAGTGTGTCCCAAATAGACTAGTCAATGGCATGGGGAACAAAGGTGTGGGGAACATGGGCAAATTATCAAAGCTGAGTCTGAGAGCCTATGAAGGAACTGAGGAAATAAAGAAGTAACAGCAACAGGTCAGATCAGAATAGTCAGAGATAAGACATTAACTCCTGCAGCAGATTTTGCACATTCCAGGTACACCAGTGTGTGGACAGCCAGGTCCATCTAAAGACACCAGACAGAGTGAGGAGCAATGCATTATTATTATCTTAATTATTTCTAATAAGCAGGACTCACAATTTGGGTACATGGGAAATACTATTGTTACAGTTGCCAAAAAAAAAAAACCTATATTGGACTTTTGCATATGGACTTGAGACTGGGAATAATTACCATGACATTTTGCAAAGATCTATTTTCATGGATGGAATTTTCATCATGCTTCATTTTAGATGTCCTCCAATCTGATAAACAACAAAAGGGTTCCAAGGATCCATTTATTCAGAAGAAACTGAAATTTAAAATTAATTTTAAACCTTCCATAAAGCTGTTCTACATTTGAAGAAAAAGGTATTTTCTTCACTAGACTTTGTGGTTTTCATTTCAATCATTATATGAATAACCAAAATCTCTTCTGATGCAAATATCAGTATTTGGAGAGATCCACCTTTTTATATTGTATTCCTGAATGTCTTTAACCAGAATTCTAGAAGGTAGATTGCCATGTTCTTGAATTGCCTGACCTCTCTAAACAAATACCTACTTTAACTTTGAGGTATAAGACAAAATACGCACAATAGCTCTCTGTATCAGCGGGTTCTGCGCTCGTTTATTCAACCAAGGATCAAAAATATTTGAAAAATAAAAATTAACAATACAGCAATAAAAAACAATACAAATTTTAAAAATACAGTATAGCAAGTATTTACATAACATTTACATTGTATTATAGGTATTATAAGTAATCTAGAGGTGATTTAAAATATACAAGAGGATGTGCATAGGTTATGTGCAAATACTACACCATTTTATATAAGAAACTTGAGCATCCGCAGATTTTGGTATCCATGGGAAGGGGGGTTGTCCTGGAACCAATTCCCCATGGATACCAAGGGATTACTGTATAGCAAGTATATGTTTCCTATGGCTGCTGTCACAAATTACCACAAATGTAGTGGCTTAAAACAATCAACCTTTACTATCTTATAGCCCTAGGGATCAGAAGTCCAACATGGGTGTCACTGAGCTGATTTCAAAGTGTTAGCAGGGGTGTGTTCCTTTCTGGAGGTCTAGGTGTAAATCTGTTTCCTCGACTTTTCAAGCATCTAGAGGCTGCCTGCCTTCCTTGGCTCATGGCTCCCTTCATCTTCAAAGCCAGCCATGACAGATCACATCCTTCTCACACATTTTGACACAAATTCATTTGCCTCCATCTTTCACATGCAAGGAAACTTGTGAGTACACTGGACTCATCCAGATAATCCAGGATGATCTCCCTATTTTAACAACAGCTGATTAACAACCTTAACTTTATCTACAATCTTAATTCCCCTTTGTCATGAAACATAAAATATTTCCAGATTCCAGAGATTAGGATGTGAGCATCTTTGTGTGTGTGTATGTGTGTGGCAGGGTGCATTATCCTGCTCATTACAGCAAATGTGTTAGAGGTTAGAGAGAGGAGGTTGTCATTAAGATCTGGTTCCACATGCATAATTCAATAAAGTTGCTTATAGAAATTATGTATCGAAGTACCTCCAATAAATATACTAATAGAGGAACTATAAGTTTTTTTTATATTATCAAAATTACATCGAGTATGAAATAGGAAAAGAGACTAGTATTGATTAAAATGAGCAAAGTGGAGTCAGTACTTCCCCCATCCAAATGTAATAGTGATATGTATGTTGCCCTTGGATGTTCTGCAAAGGTATGAAACCAACTGAAAAGAGGTACAACTTAAGCTGTTCCTGTGCGTTGAGCCAAAGAAATTTTAAGTCCACAAGGGCATGCCTCTTAAGGAGGGAGGGATAGGCTATAAGGCAGTGAGTTTCTGACGATGAACCAAACTATCCTTCCAACAATCTATTCCTCTTGCTATATTCTTTAATAAACTACTGCTTTATAGGTAAAATCAAGTCTTTTATGTATTCTGCACTCCCGACTACCCTATAACAAAACTAACACTTCCCTACAGTCACTTATAATTCTTTTTCAGAAATCTCTTTCCATTCTCATTTCTTCTGCTGTTATTTTATACAGCATTTCTTTAATAAATGGCCTCAATACTTCCAATGCTTTAGCAAGTTTTTTTGTCATTGTTGTTTTGTTTTTTGTTCATGTGTGTTTTTTTTTGTTTTGTTTTGTTTTGAGACAGAGTTTTGCTCGTGTTGCCCAGGCTGGAGTGCAATGGTGCGATCCCGGCTCACTGCAACCTCTGCCTCCCAGGTTCAAGCGATTCTCCTGCCTCAGCCTCCTAAGTAGCTGGGATTACAGTCGTGTGCCACCATGTCTGGCTAATTTTTGTATTATCAGTAGAGACAGGGTTTCACCCTGTTGGCCAGGCTAATCTCAAACTCCTGACCTCAGGTGATCCACCTGTCTCGGCTTCCCAAAGTGCTGGGATTACAGGCATGAGCCACTGCACCTGGCCACTTTAGCAAGTTTTGATGCAACTATGTTTATATATGCCACTTTACAACCAAGATTCCTGGTACCCCTAATCTCTTCTAGTCTTAATTTACTACTGAAGTTCATTACATCATGTTAATTATTAACATATTTATTTTGTTTTTCAACATATCTGAAGTTGGAGAAATTGTTGTCAAAAGAATCTTCTCAGATCTATCAGAACTGCCTGCCTGCCAATTCAGAATAAAGGTAGTCACTGAATGGATTCTGTCTAAGATTTTCACGACCAAAGTCTTAATTATTTCAGATCAAGCTTCAATGAGCAAAATGTTTAGTTTTAGAGATGTACCTTCTTCACGCAAAGCACTGGACTCCAACCATATTAGTCAGCTTGGGCTTCTAGAACAAAATTCCGTAGACTGGGTGGCTTAAACAACAGAAGTTTATGTTTTCATGGTTCTGGAGACCGGAAGTCCAATTCTGGCAAGGGTTCTCTCTTAGGCTTGCAATAAGCTGCCTTCATACTGTGTCTTCACATGGCAGAGAGAGAGAGCAAGCAGGCACTCTGGTGTGTTTTCTTATAAGGGCACTAATCCCATCATAAGGGCCTCATCCTCATGACCTCATCTAACCTTAATTAATTCCCAAAGATCCCATCTCCAAATATCATCACATTGGAGCTTAGAGCTTCAACAGATAAATTTTGGGAGCACACAAGTCAGTTCATAGCACCACCTAAAGAGCAGGTTGGGCAAATTCCCAAAATTACAACAGAGATTCCTACAGGCTTTCCATACCAAACCAAAAACAGTATATGGCACATAGTAGTTGTTCAATAAATACTTGTTGAATAAGTTGAAAAAAATGAACAAATGTCCGTAACTCAAGAAAAGACTAAGGGAAAAGGAAATTTGAATGAGGCAGGGATCTAATCCCAAAGTGGACATCTCATATTTGGGTGAAACAGCAAATCTCCTTGACAATATTAATGTCCCTGGCAATTCAAATATCTTCAAAGGAAAATGATGTGGAATAAAATTAAATGATTTTAAACAAAATTATATTTCACCAGCTTATAGTTGCATCTCAGTAAATGCCCATTCTTTTCCAAGAGCGGGCTATTTCCATTTTCTAGAAATCCTGTCTCTTCTGTGGGAATTATCTCTAAAATTGTGTTCAGTTTGGATGTCATGGTTAGTCCAGGTCCTCTGCCTTCTTGATGAGGTCCCTGAGGTTTGTTTTGCCAGATCCTTCTTCTCATAGCCTCAGTACATCCAGTGAGCAGGCACGTGTCCCAGGATCAGCCAATCAGGCATCCACTTAGGACTCTGTCTGCTGAAAACAGTGCTGTGAAGATAGAAGAAACTGCTGAAGTTCATTTTTTCCAGCAGTAATACCTTAACAAACAGGTAATTTTTGTCCTGGTTTCTGTCTTATTTCCCAGTCTGATTCTCTGGTTTTTCATTCAACTATGTGAAATCCACAATACCCTTCTGATACATTCCCTTTCTGATTCAATTAGCCAGAGTTAGATTCTCAGGCATACAACCGCGAAACACTAATGAAACATGTTCTTCATCCTGTTTCTTCAGGCGACACCACCTACAATCAGAGAGTCCTATCCTCCTTGCTACTGACTACTAATATGCGTGGTTCAACACCAGGAGACTCATTTGCCTCTTCCAGCCATCTGGATTGGTGTATTCCATTATGGTCACAACATCTTAAAATATATTTACCAATTATCTAGATATTTAGATGTTTACCAATATCTAATATCTGGATATTTACCAATAGGTCTAGGAGAGCAATGAGCAATTGTGAAATCATATCACATGAGGGGGATTGAAGGAGGTAGGAACCACTGGCCCACAGGAGAGAAAACTGAAAATATAGATGTGTAAACTCTTTAATTATTCAATTGACTTTGTATAATTCCACGTGACAGACTCAGGTGCAATACATAGAAGATAAAATAAGGCAGTATTCAGGTCAAATTTTAGAGAAACAAAATATTACTAATTAGAATTACTTCCCCTTCCCCAGTAAGATGGCCTGACTGTAACTGAAATTATAAATGATCATCATAGAGAATATCCAAGCAGAAATTTGATGTCTACCTTACAGATATATGAAGTGGAAAATTGGGCACCATGGTTATTTAAAACTTACATTCTCAAGATAGCTTCTATCATTACTCTTTGCCTCTCTCAAATAAGACAAAAAGCATGGCATTTAGCAAAAACAAACAAACAAACAAACAAAAACCACCACCAGAAATAAAGAAAGAAGGGAAGCAATATTTTAGGAAACAGCAAAGGTCCTAAACTTCCCTTCCTACCCCTGCCACTAATTTGAAGAAAACTAAACAGAGGGCCTAGTATAATTATCCTGAAGGAAACCACGTGGAAATAGTAGCACACCTCTGTGCCCCACCATGTACACACAACACCTCCTTGGAGCAGGAAAACCTCCTGGAGCTTAACACTATATATACATATTTTTTTTTGGCAAGAAAGAAACTCAAAAGCAAAGTAGGAACATGATAAGTACATGTAGCTATAAACAGAATAGAAGAATAGAATAGAAGCAGAATAGAAAACCGCAGGTAAGTAAGGAGAAAACTTCCAAGGAATAAGAGACCCAGGAGAAAGAGTTTCACTTACCAAATGACAGTCATCCTGTCTGAAGCCACTTGACTTGAAAATATGTGTGTTTGCCAACTCGTGGTTCCGCATTTCTTTTTTTTCTCTACTAGCTAAGTATGGCAATGGCAGCTGGAGGGAGGACAGCAATGCCAGATAATGAACACCTAAGACAATCATTTCTGTCAGAAGTAGAGCTTCCAAGGCCCCATCTTGAATTGGGGAAATGATCTGAAGTCTAAAGATGCTACCCACTAACATATGATAAAGCCCCACAGTGGTAGAAAGGGCCCTAGAAGGTGAATCTAAACAAAATTACTGCTGATTATCTATTCTCTGGGCCATAGGACACAGAAAACAAAATACACTCTACAAGCAAGCTAAACTTATGAGACAGACACACAAGGTCTTAATAAAGCTGACTGCAAGAAAAATGGAAAGGAGAAAGGGAGAGCATGGCAACTGTGCAAAAGATGTTATCATTTTTAAAAAGGCAAAAAAAGGATATATGTGGTAGATAAACCATCCTTTCTGGGAGAAAACATAACTGAATAGATCAGAAGAAAATTTCCCATTATGAGTGCTCTAATCTTAAGAGGAATAGGAAAACAATGAAAATGACAGGCAAAAAAAGATGATAGAACAATATAAGATGAAAAATATAATGGGAGAACTACATAAAAAATTAAGGCTCAAAAACACTATTATAAAAATAATAAATAAAATGAGCACATAATAGTAGTTATAAGACTGAATAATTACAAAGAGCCTACTATGAGCCAGACACTGTTAAAATATTTTGAGTACATTATGCATATAATCCTCACAAGAACACTGTAAGGTAAGGGTTACTGTTTTCTCATTTTACAGATGAGGAATTTGAAGTACAAATGGTTAAGTAGCTTTCCAAAGAGCTCCAAAGGGGCAAAGCCAGGATTTGAACCTGGCAGAATGATTTCAGAGCCCATGCTCTTCAGCTGTTATAATATACTGCCTCTCAGCAGGACTTGAATGAAGAGCCAAAATAACAAATCTTAGAGCGAGGGTAGCCTCTTTCAAAGAACTGGAAATCACCAGAAACAATTTTGTCAGCAATTCAAGAAGCCAAGTGGACTTTGTACGACTGCCTATTATGAAATACAAACCTTGAAAGGTTCTCTTACTCAGAGATGTAGATAATTATGTAAGAGAAGAATACTTAAAAATAGAAACCTCCTCAGAGAGAAGCTATATAATTTGCTTCAGGTCACACAACTGGAAAGCTTTGGAGCTAAGATTCAAATCTGGCTCTCTGGTTCCAATTACTCCATGCTTAACATGGCACTAGAAACATAAGGGCATTGAAAATACATATATATATATGGCTAAGAACATTGGTAACACAGACCAAAGAAAAAACTTGCTTAAAATAAGCAAACTAAATGCAAAGGAAAAGGAAATCTATAAAGTAAATAAAAAGACGACAGAGTGGGAAGACAATGACATTTCAACACAAGTATAATTGGAGTCTTTGAAGGTGACAACCCAATTCATGGAACAGAGAAAAAACTAACCTGAAGATAAAATGGAATAAACATTTTCTAAAATGGAAGAGAAAATGTGCAAACTAAAAGTACATATGTTTAGGGAGATGTTGATACAGAACATTGACACAAAGTATATCCTGGTAAAGTTGCTGAATATCAAATATAAACTCAAGAATAAATTTTTCATCAATTAAGGCAGAAATAGTAAGTCACTGATAAGGAAAAAAAGTATCTGAGACTGGCCTCAAATCTTACTGCAGCAATTATCAATGTCAAAATAATGCAGCAAAGTCTGAAAATTTTGAGTGAAGGTGTGACCCAAAATGTCACACTTTAAAAAAACTCTTTAGTACATAATTCATGTACACCTTTTTAAAAATTCAAAAGTACAGGAAGACATATACTAAAAATAAGGACTTTCTTCTCATAGCTCTGTCTCCATCAAAGAGGTAAATAATGGTAATTAGTTACATATTTTATTTTTTAGAACTATTTTATACATATGCAAGCATATATATTTTCTTAGCTTGGGTTCTCCTGAAATCAGAGCTGATACAAAGCTTTTTTGTAGGTAGTCTGACAACATGATCCCAAGGAGGACGAGTAGCAATCAGGGGGAGTTAAACAAGTTAAGAGAAAAAGGCAATAAAGAAATGCAGCATTGAATTGGCCACTACTGTGAGCAACAAGAGCTGGATTCTGATGGGGCTTCTGGAAATCTTCATAAACTGTGACTCTAAACTGTCCACCTGAGTGTGAAACGAGAGGCACTTATCTAGTGTTTCCTGTGCTTTATTGATGGAGGGTATCCAAACAGTTAATTCCCTTGCATTTCTACACTGCAAGTGCGTGAATGTTGAATGGGTTTGTGTGAGAGTCTCTCTCCGCAGCTTCAGAGAAGCCCTGGGACAGTGTCATAGACTGAAGGTTTGTGTCCCTCCATAATTCCTATGTTGAAGCCCTAACCCCTCAATGTGATATTATTTGGAAGTGGAGCCTTTGTTGGTAATTAGGTTTTAACGAGGTCATGAGGGTGGAGGCCCCATGATGGAGTTAGTGTCCTTATAAGAAAAGGAAGAGACTGAAGTTCACTCTCTCTGCCATGTGAGGACACAGAGGGAAGACAGCCTTTTGAAAACCGGGAAGAAAGCCCTTACCAGGATCCGAATGGACAGCACCATGATCCTGGATTTTCTAAGCCACCCCAGTCTATGGTACTTGTTACGGTAGCCTGAGCTGACTAAGACAGGCAGGAGCAAATAGTACACACTGCAGGCCTGAGAAGAGACACTGTCACAGTGCACCAGTGTGAAGCTTGTTGAAGCCTGCAAAGAACTGGTCATCACAGCAGTGGCTGGAGTTAGGGGTAAGTGCCAGTTACATTGAAATAGAGAATAAAACATATCCAATGCATTTATGCATATAAATGTACTACCCCACATTTTCCCTACAAACCATGGCATCCTATTGACAATGTTCTGTACATTGTTCTAACTGATTAGCAATCTATCTTGCAGACTATAGCCACATCAGCATAAATCTTACTCATTTAATGACTACATAGCATTGCATTATATGAATGCATCATAATATATTGAACCACTTTCTAGTTAATGAATATTGAAATTGCTCTCAGGCTACAAACAATGCTTTGGGAAATACACTCTCATAGACACACAGTCATCGTATCTTTGTGCATACATGTAATTTTTTTCTGTAGAAATATTTTCTACAAGTTGGATCGCTAGGTCAAAGACTATGGGCTTAAAACATTTTTATTAATATTGATAAGTTGCTCGCCAAAGAAGGTTTTTTCTTTTTTCTGTTTTTTGTGATGGAGTCTCACTGTGTCACCCAGGCTGGAGTGTAGTGGTGCAATCTCGGCTCACTGCAACCTCTGCCTCCCGGGTTCAAGCGATTCTTCTGCCTCAGCCTCCCGAGTAGCTGGGACTACAGGCACGCCCCACCATTTTTGTAGTTTTAGTACACACGGGGTTTCACTGTGTTGGCCAGGCTTGTCTCGAACTGCTGACCTTGTGATTCACCCACCTCAGCCCCCCAAAGTGCTGTGATTATAGGCATGAGCCACTGCACCCGGCTTCAAAGAAAGTTTTTCAATTTACACTCTGCCAGAAATGCATAGATGCCTGTGTTCTCACATCTTCAGCACAGTGCATTTTCACATTTAAAACTTTGTTGCCAATCTAGTAGGTAAAAAAGGACTTTGTTTTAATTTGCATTTTTAAAATTACAGCTGAGGTTGAGTGTTTTCGTTTGCTTAAAAGGCTTTCATATTATCTCTTCTATAAATTGCTTGTTCATATTTGTTGCCCATTTTTTTCTACTGCATTTTAGGTTTTTTGCATTAAGAAAATTAGCCTTTGTCACATTTGTTACAAAACATTTTCCCTGTGTGCTGGTTTTCTTTTATGGGATTTTGTTTTCTCTTTGATTAAAAGTGGAAAGTTCAAAGGACTAAAAGATCTCAAATATGACGCACCAGCCTCACACCTGCCAAAGTTTAAAACAATTCAAGTAAATCCACAGCCCCTAGAGCAGTTAATGTAACAAAATAACATTCTCAGAACTAGTTCTTAGTAGAACCTGATACATGCCACTGGGGTCTATCACATCCCAGAGACTCAGCAGCACCTGTCAGCAACACTGTGGCAGCTACTGCTGTCTCTTGGAATGTGATTGCTGAAGCCCATGACACCTGGCTCCAAGGAACAGTTTTTCTCCTTGTCTTCACATGTGTTTCTGCTAGAGGATCTCTCAGCCAATTTCCGAGCAGGAGTGCCTATGAGGCTGTCTGAAGCCTGTGCCCTAAGGGCTTTCATGAGGGCTAATAACCGTCCTGATCTCCTGAAGGCCCTTTCTTTCCTCTGCTTCTGAATCTCCTGGGCTTACAGTGATGATCATTCTGCCGCAGCTTTACCTGCAGTGGACTGTGTTCTTCCCCGCTGGGGTTCTCTCCTTTCAGGAGGGCCTAGCTAAGGTTTTTAACTGCTTAACCTCCTTCTTAAGGGGCTTCCTTTCTTTCTCAATCTTGTATAATGCTAGCACTCTTGGACCTTCTTTGCTCTTAGTATCTGAGCAGTGCTTCTTCTAATTCTTGTCTAGATTTCTCTATTCTCTAGCAACCCCTCTCTATTCAGATAAATACCAAAATATCTTTCCTTTTGCAAGCCTATATTTAAAAGCAGTTGGATATGAGTGTATATATGTTCTATATATGTAGCTAGTCTATCCTGTAAGGTCTGACTTTTTCTCAGAGGGAAACTCTCTTCTTAAGTCTGTCTTCCTTAATTTTTCTTTCATTTGCCCATAATCCCTGTTTTAATGGTAGTGGGCATGCATATTTTTAAATACCAATGGTAGTGGAAAGCATATTTTTAAATACTAATCTAGTTCCTCCTTGATTTCCCCAGGAAAAATGATTCTCAGAGTATTCCAGGCACAAGCCTTCTAAAATCGCCTGCTTTAGCCTGCAAATTTGAAATACATTCACTGAATTGTTTCTCCATTTCAAACCAAGAAGATGACATATTTGCTATACGACAAAAGTTCAGTCTACCTTTAATTTTTTTTATTAATGAAATCTACCACTTCTGCATAGTAAAGAGATAGCCTAGGTCACTGACATTTGAAGCCAGATCAGAATTTATGTGATTAGCACATGCAGCGCCAACTGGGGGCCACATGGCGGAGGTTAATCTGAACCCAAAGCCTAGGACAAGCTGCATGAGTCCAAAATGGCTTCTTTCACCTTGAATGCTGTTCAAAACAAGATAAGAAGAAATCAAAGTGGGGTCTGCTAAGCAAAGTCTAACACCTCATAATGTGCATCTCTCAGATCAGCAGTAGCAGCATCACCTGAAACCTGCTAGAAATGCAAAATCTTGGGTTCTACCCCAGAATTACAGAATCCAAATCTGCACTTTAACAAGACCCCCCGAGAGATTTGTTTGCACATCTAAGTTTGAGAGATCTTATATAACTTAGCTCTCTGCAGTCCTTGCTGAGAATAAAAAGTTACAGAGAGAAATTCATTGCACCCACAATACTTACAAAATCTGCACACTGAATCTCAATCTGCTTTAACTGAAACTAAAAGGTTCTTTTCTGATCATTTAATCCTTGTCCTAGCTGCTTGCTTTGGTGAAAGCAAAGGTGTAGCATTTGGTGTCAATGAGCTACAGAGGTGCCTTCTCTCTCTCCCCACACTGAGGCCCATGCCAGGTGAAGACCAGGTACAGGACGATAGTGATTATAAACCACTTCTCAAATACCTAGTGTCCTGACATAGTCCCAAACTACCCAAGCTGGCCTTTAAGAAGGTTCCATTTCTATGTATTATTTTATCCCCTAAATTCTAGTCCTTAGCCATCTATTAAAATCAATATTAAGGGTTTGAAGGTCCTAATGAATAAAACCACTCTTTCCTCCTCCCAAGCGAGAAAATATGGAGAACTAAGAGTGAGGCATTAAATCAATAAAGATCAAAAGTCAGACCTGTTGTTGTTAAGCTGATTACAATATAAGGCTTAGAATCGCAACCCAATGAGCTTCCAAACACTCCAGAGAATTTGGATAAAAAACCGTCCAATCCACAGTCAGGCCCTGCAGGGCCAGGCCAGTCTCCTTGAACCAAAGGGAGCATGTGAATTCTGAGGAGCAGCTCCTTTGAAAGAGATAAAGCCAAGCCACTCGTGTTCAGCTAAGCGCCCAGTTTCACAGCCAGAGAAGTCACTCCCCCTCCCTTGGGGAGAGGCAGCAAGGGTGACAGAGCAGTCAGAAATATCATACTCATACATTCTCTTCCATCAATAGAAATCTGAGGAATGGGAAATAGGAAGGCTCCTAATAAAGTCTTTGCAACGTTGAAAGCAAATAAATCTGAAAACAAATAATTTTTTTTGGAAAAAAAAAAATCACCAAAGCTGAACCATGAAGAGACAGAAAACAGACTGATAACTATGGGATAAATTGAGAAACTTACCAAAATCCTAAATTGCCTAAAAGTACCATGTTTCATAAGAGAAATCCTTAAAACTTTTGAGGAAAAATTAATTTCAATACTATTTAAACTTTCCAAGAGTGCATGGGGGAAAAAGGGGCTGTGAAAAGAAAGGCTTGTTCGGCAAAGTCAGCATAATATTTATACATAAATCTGACCTAAATAGAGTCTAAAAAGAAAAGACCAAGCTCATTTATGAATGTTGGCATTAAAATCTTAAGTGTGATTTTAGCAACTATAATTGGATAATATATTAAAGAGTATTACACCATAACCAAGTCAAGAGATTCTAGAATGCAAAAATGGTTCAAAGTTAATAAATATATTTATATAATTTATGTTTATGAGTCAAGTAACAAAATAATAAAAAGTTCAAGGCCCTACATGCTATAAAAGCATTTGACAAGATAAAAAATCTATTCCTGGCTGGGTGTGGTGGCTCACACCTATAATCCCAGCACTCTGGGAGGCCAAGGCAGGAGGATCACTTGAGGCCAGGAGTTTGAAACCAGCCTGAGCAACATAGTGAGACCCTGTCTTCACAAAAAATTGAAAAAATTAGACAGGCCTGGTGACCTATGCCTGTAGTTCTAGCTACTCAGGAAGCTGAGGTGGGAGAATCTCTTGAGCATGGGAGTTCCAGATTGCAATGAGCTGTGATTACACCACTGCACTCCAGCCTGGGTGACAGAGCAAGATCTTGTCTCTTAAAAATAAATTAATTAATTATATCCATAAAGGATATATATACTTGACTTTTTTGTTTTTTGAGATGGAGTCTTACTCTGTCGCCCAGGCTGGGGTGTAGTGGCGCAATCTCAGCTTACTGCAACCTCCACCTCCTGGGTTCAAGCAATTCTTTGCCTCAGCCTCCTGAGTAGAAACTATTCACTGGTATTACAGGCACCCACCACCACGCCTGGCTAATTTTCATATTTTTAGTAGAGATGGGGTTTCACCATCATGGCCACACTGGTCTTGAACTCCTGACCTCATGATCCACCTGCCTCGGCCTCCCAAAGTGCTGAGATTACAGGCATGAGCCACTGCACCCAGCCATACCTGACTTTTTAAGATACAAAATCTTAGTAAAGTAGGCATAAAGAACCTCATGCCTAATGATGAGATGGTAGAAAAATTCTCATTACCATTGGGAACATGACAAGGATACCCAGTATCTCCAGTATTACTCAGCTTTTCAGAAAATACTATCCAGTATAGAAATGGGAAATAAGTAGAAAAATTATTTTTCCCATGCCTAGAGAACTCAAAAGAATAAATGATGGGCTCACACCTGCAATTCCAGCACTCTGGGAGGCCAAGGTGGGAGGATCGTTTAAGGCCAGGAATTTGAGACCAGCCTGAGTAACACAGGGGGTCCCAATCTCTAAAAACAAACAAATTAAAATAAAGAATAAATGAAAAGAAGTATATTATTGGCAAAAAGAGAACTTAGTAAGCTTATCAAAAGTTTTTCTATATTTGCTGGCAACATGGCCGAATAGGAACAGCTCAGGTCTGCAGGTCCCAGCGAGATCGATACAGAAGGCAGGTGATTTCTGCATTTCCAAGAGAGGTAGCAAGTTCTTCTCATTGGGACTGGTTGGACAGTGGGTGCAGCCCATGGAGAGCGAGCCAAAGCAGGGTGGGGCATTGCCTCATCTGGGAAGCACAAGGGGTAGGGGGATTCCCCCCACCCCCAGCCAAGGGAAGCCCTGAGGGACTTTGCCATGAGGAATGGTGCACTCTGGCCCAGATACTGCGCTTTTCCCATGGTCTTCACAACCCGCAGACCAGGAGATTCCTTCCAGGGCCTATGCCACCAGGGCCCTGGGTTTCAAGCACAAAACTTGGCCGCCATATGGGCAGACACTGAGCTAGCTGCAGGAGTTTTTTTTTTTTTTTTTTTTTCATACCCTAGTGCCACCTGGAATGCCAGCAAGACAGAATCATTCTTTCCCCTGGAGAGGGGGCTGAAGCCAGGGAGCCAAGCGGTCTGGCTCAGTGGGTCCCACCCCCATGGAGACCAGCAAGCTAAGATTCACTGGCTTGAAATTCTGGCTGCCAGCACAGCAGTCTGAGGTCAACCTAGGACGCTAGAGTTTGCTGGGAGGAGGGGCGTCCGCCACTGAGGAGGCTTGAGCAGGCAGTTTTACCCTCACAGTGTAAACAAAGCCTCCAGGAAGTTCAAACTGGGTGGAGCCCATTGCAGCTCAGCAAGGCCACTGTGGCCAGACTGTCTCTCTAGATTCCTCCTCTCTGGGCAGGGCATCTCTGAAAAAAAGGCAGCAGCACCAGTCAGGGACTTACAGATAAAACCCCCATCTCCCTGGGACAGAGTACCTGGGGGAAGGGGCGGCTGTGGGTGCAGCTTCAGCAGACTTAAACGTCCCTGCCTGATGGCTAAGAAGAGAGCAGATCTCCCAGCACAGCGCTCAAGCTCTGCTAAGGGTCAGACTGACTCCTCAAGTGGTTCCCTGGCCCCCATGTATCCTGACTGGGAGACACCTCCCAGTATGGGCCGACAGACACCTCATACAGGAGAGCTCTCACTAGCACCTGGCAGGCACCCCTCTGGGATGAAGCTTCCAGAGGAAGGAACTGGCAGCAATCTTTGCTGTTCTGCAGCCTCTGCTGGTGATACCTAGGCAAACAGGGTCTGGAGTGGACCTCCAGCAAACTCCAGCAGACCTGCAGCAGAGGGGCCTGACTGTTAGAAGGAAAACTAACAAACAGAAAGGAATAGCATCAACATCAACAAAAGGGACATCCACTCAGAGGCCCTATCCGAAGGTCACCAACATCAAAGACCAAAGGTAGATAAATCCATGAAGATGGGGAGAAACCAGCGCAAAAATGCTGAAAATTCCAAAAACCAGAATGCCTCTTCTCCTCCAAAGAATCACAACTCCTCGCGAACAAGGGAACAAACCTGGATGGAGAATGAGTTTGACGAATTGACAGAAGTAGGCTTCAGAAGATGGGTAATAACAAACTCCTCTGAGCTAAAGGAGCATGTTATAACTCAATGCAAGGAAGCCAAGAACCTTGAAGAAAGGTTAGAGGAATTGCTGACTAGAATGACCAGTTTAGAGAAGAACATAAATGACCTGATGGAGCTGAAAAACACAGCACAAGAACTTTGTGAAGCATCCACAAGTATCAATAGCCGAATCGATCAAGCAGAAGAAAGGATATCAGAGATTGAAGATCAACTTAATGAAAGAAAGTAAAAAGACAAGATTAGAGAAAAAAAATGAAAAGAAACAAACAAAGCCTTCAAGAAATATGGGACTATGTGAAAAGACCAAATCTATGTTTGGTCTATGATTGGTGGAACTGAAAGTGACGGGAAGAATGGAACTGAGTTGGAAAACACTCTTCGGGATATTATCCAGGAGAACTTCCCCAACCCAGCAAGGCAGGCCAACATTCAAATTCAGGAAATACAGAGAACACCACAAAGACACTCCTTGAGAAGAACAACCCCAAGACACACAATCGTCAGATTCACCACGTTTGAAATGAAGCATAAAAGGTTAAGTGCAGCCAGAGAGAAAGGTTGGGTTACCCACAAAGGGAAGCCCATCAGAGCAACAGCAGATCTCTCAGCAAGAACTCTACAAGCCGGAAGAGAGTGGGGGCCAATATTCAACATTCATAAAGAAAAGAGTTTTCAACCCAGAATTTCATATCCAGCCAAACTAAGCTTCATAAGCAAAGGAAAAATAAAATCCTTTCCAGACAAGCAAATGCTGAGAGATTTTGTCACCACCCGCCCTGCTTTATAAGAGCTCCTGAAGGAAGCACTAAACATGGAAAGAAACAACCGGTACCAGCCACTGCGAAAACATACC
The DNA here is from genome assembly GCF_000001405.40 of Homo sapiens. Lineage (NCBI taxonomy): Eukaryota > Metazoa > Chordata > Mammalia > Primates > Hominidae > Homo > Homo sapiens. The sequence goes on along the minus strand of NC_000012.12, from coordinate 67,553,812 downwards.
ACATTGTAAAGACCATCAACACTATGAAGAAACTGCATCAACTAACGGGCAAAACAGCTAGCATCATAACGACAGGATCAAATTGACACATAACAATATTAACCTTAAATGTAAACAGGCTAAATGCCCCAATTAAAAGATACAGACTTTTAATTGGATAAAGAATCAAGACCCATCAGTGTACTGTATTCAGGAGACCCACCTCACGTGCAAAGACACACATAGGCTCAAAAGAAAGGGATGGAGGAATATTTACCAAGCAAATGGAAAGCAAAAAAAAGGCAGGGGTTGCAATCCTAGTCTGTAATAAAACAGACTTTAAACCAACAAAGATCAAAAAAGACAAAGAAGGGCATTACATAATGGTAAAGGGATCAATGCAACAGGAAGAGCTAACTATCCTGAATATATATGCATCCAATACAGGAGCACCCAGATTCATAAAGCAAGTTCTTAGAGACCTACAAAGAGACTTAGATTCCCACACAATAATAGTGGGAGACTTTAACACCTCACAGTCAATATTAGACAGATCAATGAGACAGAACATTAACAAGGATATCCAGGACTTGAACTCAGCTCTGCACCAAGCAGAACTAATAGACAGCTTCAGAACTCTCCACCCCAAATCAACAGAATATACATTCTTCTCAGAATCACATCACACTTATTCTAAAACTGACCACATAATTGGAAGTAAAACACTCCTCAGCAAATGCAAAAGAACGGAAATCCTAACAGTCTCTCAGATCACAGTGCAATCAAGTTAGACCTCAGGATTAAGAAACTCACTTAAAACCACACAACTACATGGAAACTGAACAACCTGCTCCTGAATGACTACTGGGTAAATAACAAAATGAAGACAGAAATAAAGATGTTCTTTGAAACCAATGAGAACACAGACACAATGTACCAGAATCTCTGAGACACATTTAAAGCAGTGTTTAGAGAGAAATTTATAACACTAAATGCCCACAAAAGAAAGCAGGAAAGATCTAAAATCAACACCCTAACATCACAATGAAAAGAACTAGAGAAGCAAAAGCAAACAAATTCAAAAGCTAGCAGAAGACAAGAAATAATTAAGATCAGAGCAGAATTGAAGGAGACAGAGAAAAAAAAAAACCCTTCAAAAAATCAATGAATCCAGGAGCTTGTTTTTTGAAAAGATCAACAAAATAGACGACTAGCCAGACTAATAAAGAACAAAAGAGAGAAGAATCAAATTGACACAATAAAAAATGATAAAGGGGATATCACCATTGACCCAAAGAAATACAAACTACCCTCAGAGAATACTATAAACACCTCTATGCAAATAAATTAGAAAATCTAGAAGAAATGGATAAATTAATGTACACGTACACCCTCCCAAGTCTAAACCAGGAAGAAGTCAAATCCCTGAATGGACCACTAACAAGTTCTGAAATTGAGGCAGTAATTAATAGCCTACCAACCAAAAAAGTCCAGGACAAGATGCATTCACAGCCAAATTCTACCAGAGGTACAAAGAGGAATTGGTACCACACCTTCTGAAACTATTTCAAACAATAGAAAAAGAGGGAATCCTCCCTAATTCATTTTATGAGGCCAACATCATCCTGATACCAAAACCTGGCAGAGACAACAAAAACAAAAAATGAAAATTTCAGCCAATATCCCTGATGGACATTGATGCAAAAATCCTCAATAAAATACTGGCAAACTGAATCCAGCAGCACATCAAAAAGCTTATCCACCACAATCAAGTCAGCTTCATCCCTGGGATGCAAGGCTGGTTCAATATACACAAATCAACAAATGTAATCCATCACATGAACAGAACCAATGACAAAAACCACATGATTATCTCAATAGATGCAGAAAAGGCCTTCAGCAAAATTCAACACCCCTTCATGCTAAAATCTCTCAATAAACTAGGTATTGATGGAACGTATCTCAAAATAATAAGAGCTATTTATGACAAACCCACAGCCAATATCACACTGAATGGGCAAAAACTGGAAGCATTTCTTTTGAAAACCAGCACAAGACAAGGACACCCTCTCTCACCACTCCTATTCAACATAGTATTGGAAGTTCTGGCCAGGGCAATCAGGCAAGAGAAAGAAATAAAGGGTATTCAATCAGGAAAAGAGGAAGTTGAATTATTCCTGTTTGCAGATGACATGATTGTATGTTTAGAAAACCCCATTGTCTCAGCCCCAAATCTCCTCAAGCTGATTAGCAACTTCAGCAGTCTCAGGATACAAAATCAATGTGAAAAATCACAAGCATTCCTATACACTAACAACAGACAAACAGAGAGCCAAATCATGAGTGAACTCCTTTTCACAATTGCTACAAAAAGAATAAAATACCTAGCAATACAACTTACAAGGGATGTGAAGGACCTCTGCAAGGAGAACTACAAACCACTGCTCAAGGTAATAAGAGAGGACACAAATAAATGGAAAAACATTCCATGCTCATGGATAGGAAGAATCAATATCATGAAAATGGCCATACTGCCCAAAGTAATTTACAGATTCACTGCCCTCCCCCATCAAGCTACCATTGACTTTCTTCACTAAATTGGAAGAAACTAATTTAAAGTTCATATGGAACCAAAAAAGAGCCTGCATAGCCAAGACAATCCTAAACAAAAAGAACAAAGCTGGAGGCATCATGTTACCTGACTTCAAACTATACTACAAGGCTACAGTAACCAAAACAGCATGGTACTGTTACCAAAACAAATACATAGACCAATGGGACAGAACAGAGGCCTCAGAAATAACACCACACATCTATAACCATCTGATCTTTGACAAACCTGACAAAAAGAAGCAACGGGGAAAGGATTCTCTATTAGATAAATGGCATTGGGAAAACTGACTAGCCATATGCAGAAAACTGAAACTGGACCCCTTCCTTACACCTTATACAAAAATTAACTCAAGACGGATTAAAGACTTAAATGTAAGACCTAAAACCATAAAAACCCTAGAAGAAAACCTAGGCAATACCATTCAGGACATAGGCATGGGCAAAGACTTCCTGACTAAAACACCAAAAGCAATGGCAACAAAAGCCAAAACTGGCAAATGGGATCTAATTAAACTAAAGAGCTTCTGCGCAGCAAAAGAAACTATCATCAGAGTGAACAGGCAACCTACAGAATGGGAGAAAATTTTTGCAATCTATCCATCTGACAAAAGGCTAATATCCAGAATCTACAAAGAACTTAAATTTACAAGAAAAAACAACCCCATCAAAAAGTGGACAAAGGATATGAACAGACACTTCTCAAAAGAAGACATTTATGCAGCCAACAGACATATGAAAAAATGCTCATCATCACTGGTCATCAGAAAAATGCCAGTCAAAACCACAATGAGATACCATCTCATGCCAGTTAGAATGGCTATCATTAAAAAGTCAGGAAACAACAGATGCTGGAGAGGAAGTGGAGAAATAGGAATGCTTTTACACTGTTGGTGGGAGTGTAAATTAGTTCAACCACTGTGGAAGAGAGCATGGCAATTCCTCAAGTATCTAGAACCAGAAATACCATTTGACCCAGCAATCCCATTACTGGGATTGTATAGTAGAAGGATTGTAAATCATTCTACTATAAAGACACATGCACACGTATGTTTATTGCGGCACTGTTCACAATAGCAAAGACTTGGAACCAACCCAAATGCCATCAATGATAGACTGGATAAAGAAAACGTGGCACATATATACCACAGAATACTATGCAGCCACAAAAAAAGGATGAGTTCATGTCCTTTGCAGGGACATGGATGAAGCTGGAAACCATCATTCTCAGCAAACTGAAACAAGAACAGAAAACCAAACACCGCATGTTGTCACTCATAAGTGGGAGGTGAACAAGGAGAACACATGGACAGAGGGAGGGGAACATCACACACTGGGGCCTGTCGGGGGTGGGGGGCTAGGGGAGAGATAGCATTAGGAGAAATACCTAATGTAGATGATGGGTTGATGGGTGCAGGAAACCACCATGGCACGTGTATACCTATGTAACAAACCTGCACTTTCTGCACATGTACCCCAGAACTTAAAGTATAATAATAAAAAAGAAAAAAATTTATAAAAGTTTTTCTATGTCAAATAATAACCTGCTATAAAAATATAATGGAAGACAATGCCTCATTTATAATAATATCTGAAAACATTATAAAATGTCTAAGAACAAACTTAATAACATATATGTTTTTAGAACTTTAAAATTTGACCAAAGGGCATAAAAGTAGCCAAATAAAAAGAAGTAGTTATCTTGTTCATAGAAAGATTCAATATTGTAATGATAAGAAAATTTTTAATAAACTTTGATAGTGAACAAACTATCAAAAGGCTTGTTTACAACTGAAATTAACATCTGAGAAAAATCATGAAATTTCTGAAAAACTCTAAAAGAAAAAGATTAACTCTACTAGCTATTTAACAGTATTAATGATAGTATAAATTATCAACACTGCAGTATTGGGAAAGTGAATTATTTCATTACAGACACATGGAGAGCTATTTCAAAAAAAAATCATATATCAAAATAAATTCTAGACATATCTAAGATGTAAATGTAAAAAATTAGCCATAACAGTTTTAGAAGAAAATACTGTGTTAATGTACTTACGATGTTTGAGTGGGTAAAGCCTTTTTTTCTATGGTACAAAATCTAAAAGTCATAAAGGAAAAGACAGATTAATTTGACTAAATACACTTTGAAAGGTTTACATAGAGCACAAATACCAAACACATGACCCCTCAATTGAACTCATTTTCAGTTTTCTTCTATCCTTTAATAACTTCACTTTCAATCTATCATATAATCATGTTAAACATTTTTCCTGAAATCACAGTAAAGGTTCTGTTTCAGCAGTTCATTATCCAATATCAGTCCAGATTCAGGAATCAGGTGACAGTCAACTTGAACTGAAATTTGTACATTATTGAATTCTGTGAAATAACGAAAATAATGTGTTTTATTTTGTTTTTGTTTTTTGAGAGGGGGTCTCCCTCTGTCACCCAGGCTGGAATGCAGTGGCGTGATCTCAGTTCATTGCAACCTCCGTCTCCCAGGCTCAGGTAATTCTCCCAACTCAGTCCCCCAAGTACCTGGAACCACAGGCACGCGCCACCACACCTGGATAATTTTTGTATTTTTTGTAGCAACGGGGTTTTGTCATGTTGCCCAGCTGCAGAGCTCCAGAGTTCAAGCAATCCACCTTCTTCAGACTCCCAAAGTGCTGGGATTACAGGCATTAGTCACAATGTGTTTTTGTTTCTGTTTTTTTTTTTGTTCTTCTTTGAGACAGGGTCTCGCTCTGTTGCCCAGGTAGAGTGCAGTGGTGCAAACACAGCTCACCGCATCCTCTATCTGCCAAGCTCAAGCGATCCTCCCACCTCAGCCACCTGAGTAGCTGGCACTACAGGCACAGACCACCATGCCTGGCTAATTTTTTTTTGATTTTTTGTTTTGTTTCTTTTTGCTTTGTTTTGCTGGGTTTTTTTGTTTTTTGAGACAGAGTCTCGCTCTGTCGCCCAGGCTAGAGTGCAGTGGTGAAATCTTGGCTCACTGCAAGCTCCGCCTCCTGGGTTCACGCCATTCTCCTGCCTCAGCCTCCTGAGTAGCTGGGACTACAGGCGCCCGCCACCACGCCCGGATAATTTTTTGTATTTTCAGTAGAGACGGGGTTTCACCGTGTTAGCTACGGTGGTCTCGATCTCCTGACCTCGTGATCCTCCCGCCTTGGCGTCCCAAAGTGCTGGGATTACAGACGTGAGCTACGGCGCCCAGCCCATGCCTGGCTAATTTTTTAAATTTTTTGTAGAGATAGGGTCTCACCATGTTGCCTGGGCTGGTCTCAAATTCCTGAAGTCAAGCAATCCTCCCGCCTTTGCCTTCCAAAGTGCTGGGACTACAGGTGTGAGCCACCTCGCCTAGCAGATAATGTTTTAAAATACAAATTATATGTCACAGTAAATAGTTTATATTTATCGTCTCATGTAATCCCAACAAATCTATGAAATAAGTACTATTATACTCATTTTACAGGTTAAGAAATTGAGGGTTGGAGAAGTTAAGTTACAGACGTAGTTGTTAAATAGCAGAGTCAAGACTTGAACTCGGGTCTGTTTGTGAATAAAATATGTTTTCTCAATGACCTCATTGCACTGCCACTAATAGAACGGAAGGCTTAATAAGCATAAGACAAAAGACCTCTTTTGTTTCCCCCCTTCTAAATGAAAAGCGAACTTCATTACATATAGAAACGCACATTTATCCTTTCAAAAACTTTTACCAAATACCTACTATATGACAGGTAGATGATCTGGAAGCAGGTTATTCATCAGTCAATAAATCTAAGTGTCAAAGTGTCTGCCCTCAATGGAGGAAACAAGCAGCAGAAAACAAATGAATAAGCATATAACATGCCAGATGGCAATACAAGCTATGAAAAATATAAAAGGCATTTAAGGAGAATAGAGAGTGTTGGGAGAGGTTATGTTCCTAAACAGCAGGGGTTGGAAAAGCTTTTTGCCTGTAAAGGGCCAGTGTTCTCTGTTAGAAACTGCCATCAAGGAAGACTTCTGTGTTAAGGGGACATTTAAGCAGATACCTGAGGCAGGTTAGGGAGCCAAGTTGATATTTAGGAAGAAAGTAGAAAGCAGGGGACCAGAGTCAGAAAGGTGGAAAATGGGGTCAGAGAAACAGGAGAGCCCAGTACATGTGGGGAAATCATCCATCTACCATGCTTGAACAAAATACCTTTTGGTGCCATTGTCTACGAGACAGCACTGAGCTGACCTTTGAGCAGAAGGGCATTATATGCTCTTGTGTTCTCAGAAGAGAGCTGCACAATAGGACTGCAGACTGGAATCACACAGGCCTGCTGTACTCAAAGAGAAAGATACACTTGGTCCTTGGGAAATGGGAAGCCAGAAGAAGTTTATGATTAACTTACACATCTGCTTGATAAGCTCTCCCATTATTGGTTTTATCAAGCAGGGAAGACTAAACATTTGAAATGATCAATTAGCTTAATTATAACTTGGAGCCATGTTCCCTATCGTGAAATGCATTCTCACTGCCCTGACTAGGTGACGTTCATGAGATTTACATGTGGTGTTGCTACCATGATTTTGGTTTAGAACTGCTCTGATTCCCCTCCTTGTGAATTTCTGTTAAAATTCAACATGTTTAACTCTTAATACCTTGCATGCATTGGAGGAAGCAGCATTGTGGAGTCTATGCATAAAATTTATTTTTAATTCTGTTTGGCTGTTGTTAGATGTCTGTGAAAGTTTGGGATTAGAACCCAAGTCTGGTCAAAATCAATGTCAAAAGATGCTTTTTGCCAAGGAAGAGTGAGGGATTAGGAAGGTAACATTTAAAAGGGAAATTTGTTTTGAACTGGAATTATTACACCAAGAAATTATATTCTTAAACAGCAGTGTCTGGAAAGCTTTTTTTTTCTTGAAACGGTTACATAGTGAATATATTTAAGTTTTGTAGGCCATACAAGTCTCTTTTCCAACTGCACAACTTAGCATGCAAGTAGTTATCGACAATATGCAAATGAATAAGCATGGCTTATGAATAAGCATGGCTTGTAAATAAGACTTTATTTACAAGTGAAGTCTTATTTGTAAATAAGACTTTATTTACAGAACAGGTAGCAAACCAGATTTGACCCAAAGGATGTAGCTTGCCGAACTCCACCTATAGGAGTAATTTGGTCATTTATTTCTACAAGTGCTTAAGAAAACAGGTAGGCAGGCAGAAAAGTAGCAGAGTTTGTTTCTTTGAACTCTTATTCATAAATATCCAAATTAAATGTAATTGTCAAAAAACTCCAACTGACTAAAATAAATGCCAAAGAAAAATAATAAGTGTGGCTTAGTACAGATTACCTCTATGGTCTTAAAATGATGTGAAATACATTGATGCCTGAACATGGCAGGGACCAGCTGCTTTTGCAATAGGACATTACAGCTGTCTTATTATGAGGTGTTTCTTACATAAGATTCCATTTGAAAATTGAAAGAAATTGTATAAATCAATTAACATATTAGCTAAGTTGTCCAACACATGGTATAAAGGAATTACAACAGTTAACTATTATACATTTCCAAAAAAAAAGGAGGTGTTTCTGATCAGTCGTATTCCCCCTCCCTCCTTCTGTGTTGTGTGTGCAATCTGGTTAACATTTTCAGGGGTTGCTCTGACACTTCTAAATAGTGCAGAGTTTCCTGCCTGGGGCAGGAGAAACTTGCCAGCTCTCATTGGGCTCCGGCTGACTGTCTCTGCATCCCTGGTGTGCCAGCCTCCCTCGGGCATTGCAAAACGTCTCCACACAGCGTCCGCAGCACAAACAGGGTTCTGTGGCTGGCCCAGATTTCCAGGAGCATCCTCCTCGAAAAAGAGACAGGAGATGGAGACAGGGCTGCTTCATATACCTGCCCAAGTCAATTACGAATTCTCAGAAAGTCAAGGTCATGTGGTCATGTCGTTCCTCTATCCTTTAAGAGACTAACACGAACCTGTTTACATAGAGATTGCTTTATGAATGCTGATTGAAGGGAGATGCTGAGACACTGCCGATGTTTGCCTGTTGGTCACTCAAGGGCCATGTGAGGTCCCAGTATCAGCACCCTTCTCTGTCCCCTTTCCCACCTCCTCACGCAACCCCTCACATGCCAGCTGGGGACTAAGCCCAAAGGTGAGAGACTTTAATACATCTTGGAGAATCTCAGAATTTTGCTTTTATGGACAATACACAGATGAATTTTATAATTCATTAGCATTAAATCAGACCCCGTGGGTCCCTATTAACTATCATTGATGGTACAAGAGCCAAAAATTGAAATGGGAGAAATGTGGTTGTTGGAGTCTTTAAATGTCACACACCCCCTGTTCCTCTTCACCAGTGGTCTTTAAAAAAAAAAAGTATAGTAATAAACTGCTCTTGGAAAAAGGCATTGGTTCCCCTGTGTGTTGGTTGATCCGTTGTCAACTTGGCACTGCTGCCACTCTAAGTCTGGCAACCAGGTTTTGTGAATTTTCTTCCCAGCGTGGATCCAGGTTAGAATTTGCCAGTGAAAGAAACGCACTGGAGATTTGGAATGCAGAAACCATTATTATTTTCCAGAGGTGGTTGCAGACAGATGTGGAAGCAGAAGGGAGATTCCCAGTGGCTCCTAAAGAACTCTACGAACCACCTGCTTTGCCTCAGCAGATTGAGGCAGTTGATGAAGCGTCTCTAAGATTCTTGAGAATTGCAGCCATTTCCACAAGCATTTGAGAGCATCCTGCTCTGGTGTCCTGGCTAAGATCACCATGATCATCAACCCTGGTCTCCAGCAAGCACCTGCCCTTACCTCTGCATCCTCAGCTTTTCCATGAAAACTGTCAGTTCTATGCTAAATGCTTTATGTCTGGAATACGTAGAGTGGCTTCTGTGTTTAGGACTACATCCTGTATCGCATGGGTAAAGGATAGATTCACACACACTAAATAAACATCACCTCAGCATCGACTTTCCTTTTGGAGATCAGTAGGTATTAAGGAGACCATCCATTCATGGAATTAAGTACTCTTTTCCACTGAACCTGAAGTGCTATTGATTATGACACAAAAGTAACTAATAAGAAAGAAAAAATATGCTCCAAATGGGTAGTCTAATAGGAAGCCCTATATAAAGCTGGGATAGGAAGCAGCTATTCTTCAGTGCAAGTTTAAATGAGAAATGAACACAACTTACAAAGAAAAGATAGCAAGAAAACTTGTTTGTATGTCTGAACCTTGCTGATGGGGGAAGGAGCAAATCTCCCTGGAGGATTTGAACTACAAGCTGTTCATGCAGCTTTGTTGTTGGAATTGACACTGCCAGTGTAACTCCAAAACCCCTAACCAGAGAACTTAAAATAGTGTCCTTGATGACTGGCCAAAGCTGAGGCAAACCCTCTCTGGAAGACCTCACCTTCAGTCCAGGTGGGCAGGAATTATACCAACATCAATGGGAAGATGCACCCCCATCTCAGAGACTTAGAAATAGACGGAAAATAACAATGGTGCAACTCAAGATGGATGGCATGTGTTAGCAAACAACAGCATACTAGTAATGTTCTGGGGAATTCCCACTAAGGAAGAAGTTGAGAGCACCCTCTTCAGATGCGTGATACAGAGCCAGGCAGTTTCCAGCATAGAGTTCCAACTGTTTTGCTTACTCTGCAATATGCACCCCCATTCTCCAGACCTGCTGACACCATGGCCACCACCGTCTATGTTCTAACATCTTTCAGCTGCTTCCAGTTCTCAGGACTCACTGAGCCACCCCACATTTCTGAGTTTTAAGAGTGTCATTCTGACCAGGCTACTGTCCTTGCTTCCCAAGACTGGTTAACCTACCCGTTAACTTTCCACACCCAGGTGAGGTTTGGCTCACCTTGTGGCACTTTCCATACCCAGGCAAGCTTTGGCTCCTGGGGGAAGCTTTCCCTGACAGTCTAGTTCATGTAACCCTTCTCGGTGTTTCCACAGCACCTTGCAACAGCCCACAAGCTGATGGTATTTACTGTATGCCAAGTGCTGATCTAAGCATATGACCTGTTTTATCTCAGTCCTTACAACGACCCTGAGAAGGTACAGAGGAGAAACTGGAGGCCAGAACGGTTCAACAGCTCAAGTCAGACAGCCAGCAAGTCAGGAGGATTCAGGATTCAGGATTCTGGGCAAATGCATTCTGGAGTCATGTTCTCATCTCTGCTTTATTCTGAATAGTTCTATGATACTTTTCATCAAATTATTGGCTCATCTAAGATAAATAATGATAACAGCTGCTACAATACACTGAGAACATATTGTGTGTCAGGCACTATTTTATGCTCTTGAATTAACTCATTTAATCCTCACAAAAATCCTATGGGGTAGAGAGTATCATTGTCCCCATGTTACCAATGAGGCTCTAAGCCCATCCCTTTACTCTACGCCTCTGACTCACCTGGCTGACTCCTGTAGGTCCCAGAGACACTCTCCTGGCACTAATTTTTGGCACTAATTTTTGGTGGCAGTTCCTGTGGCCCAGAAGCTGAGGTTGGCGGTTCTCCTATCAGATCTTTTACAGTGCCATACCTGACATTCTGATTTAATTAATTATGATTTTCACTTATCTTCCTTCCTAGACTGAGCCATGTCTTATTTATTTTTGTGCTTCTAGAACTTAGCACAGTATGTAATGCATAATTAACACTCAGTACTTACCTACATGAACTGAAGAACGCATGAAGAAATGGATGCCTGCTATCTGATGCTTTCTTACAACCAGACTTGGAGGCTCTGTTATGATGTGGAGAGTATAGCCTTTGGAGTCACCAGGTTTGAATTTAATATTGCCATTTGGTGGTTGTGTGACTTCTAGCACACTCCTCAACCTCTGAGGGAGGGAGTCTAGTTTCTTCATCAGTAAAATAGTGGTCATCATCTTCCCTTGCAGCTGACTCTAGCTCAAGGGATTTAGTTTAATAAAACATAAAGTGGCCTACTATAGTGATTGGCACACAATAGGTGCTTTGTAAATGTAATTTCTCTTCTTCCTTTCTTGAGGATCTTGAGCATTCAGTTCAATTGAGCAAAATGAATTGTCCATGGATGCCAGACACAGTGTTGAGGCTGCAAGGATGAACAAGACACAGTCCTTGCCCACAAGAAGATGACACTTTAGTGAGAGAGAATTTTAAAAAACAAACTATTTAATTCACATGAGACAGTGTTATTGGGACACATGGGATGGCCTAAGTCAAGCTGTTTGCATGACTCCCCAAAGGTTATCAAGTGTAGACTCCCAAAGAGCATCTTAGAGGCCCAGTTGTCATTAGCCCCCTCCCGATGGCCTGGAAAGCTGAGAAGCAGCTGTGCTCTTTTTGCTTTGGCAGCAGAGTTATGCCTGGAGCTGCACACACAGGTGACCCCTTGAGCATGTGCTGAAGGAATTAAGGTGCTCTGCTGTGATTGGCAGGTGGCCAAGTCTCTAGCAGGGGAGGAGGAAGCAGAAAGATTAGGTGATCAGTTACACTTATCTGAAATACTCATAAGCATCCGGGAGAAAGGGGAGCATTAATACGATATGGAAGGTATAAATGGGAGTGAGTGAAGAGTTCAGTGTTTAGAGGGAGGTTTAGGTTGAATATTTGCGATGGTTAAATTATGTAGGTTCTTGAATTTTGCCCTGTCTTCTTCCTTTTTCTTAGCAGCTGAGAGAAAATGGTGGGTACAGAGTAGGAGTGAAACGAAGAATGTCTTTCTGGTAAAACAAACAAGAGATTGTGGTTCCTATGCTGAACTGAAACTCCTTTCCTTCACAAGGTAAATGTGAGGTTATTGGACAACATCCAATACCCTTCTGCTTATTCTGCCCCTGACGTGGTCAGGGTTTTCAGGCAGATTCTAAACACACTGAGGGATATGTCCACACAAAAACTCATACACCACGTTGACAGCAGCATTACCATACAAAAGCCAAAATGTCCACCACATGATGAGTGGATCAATAAAATGTGATACATCCATACATTGGAATATTCAGCTGTAAGAAACGGTTGAAGTAATAATACCTGCTCTGACATGAAAGAATGTGAAAACACGTGGGTGAAAGAAACAGTCACAAAGTACCACGTGTTGCATGATTCCCTTTCTATGGAATGTCCAGAACAGGAAACTCCATGAGGCAGAGAGTAGACTAATGGTTGCCTGTGGCTGAGGGCAGGGTAGGGGATAGGGAGTGATAGTTAAAGGCCATTGGGTTTCTTTTGGAGATTATGGAAGTGTTCTAAAATTGACTGTGGGAATGTTTGCACAGTCTGAATATACAAAAAACCGTAAACTGTACACTTTGAGTGAATTACATGGTATGTGAACCATATGTTAATAGCCCTGTTTTTAAAATGCTGAGGAATGCTAGTCAAAGTACAACTGACCCTTGGCTCAACCTCTACCCTATTTATCCCAACCAGAGAATGGTCCTGGGAATGGTGTTCAGAGCTAACACATTCATAACATAACGTACACTAAATGATCGGTGTAGGGCCACTTGGAATACTAAAACAAAACTCTCTGAACATTAAAACCAAACAGAACAGAACACACTCTGAAAAGCAAGATGAAAGGTAAACAGAGGTGTGCGGCCACTATCCCTCCAGTTGCCCAGTCTAGACACCCAGGATTTCTTAAAGTAATCTCTCTCCCTCTAGATAGATTAGATAGATAGATAGATAGATAGATAGATAGATAGATAGATAGATAGATAGATAGATAGATACATAGATACATAGATACATAGATAGACAGACAGACAGGTTTAAACACCATCTATATGCTCTGCTGCGGTTCTGAAATATATACCTTAAGGCTGGCTATTTCTCTCAAACTGCATATGAATGATATATATTTTCATATATGTGACTGCCTTCTCAACACTTCCACTCAGATTTCTATAAGTGGGCATCTCAAACTCAAACTGAACACCTACAAAACCCAGCTCTTTATGCTCCCTTGTCCCCACTATCCTGCTCCACCTTCCTGTCTCAGGAAATGGCAATCCCATCCTTTCAGTTGCATAGGCCAAAATTGTTTGAGTCATCCTTGGCGCCTCTGTTTTCATCACAACTCATGTCTGATCTGTGAACAGTGCTGTTGGATTTCAAATCTTACCACTGCTCATCACTGCCACTGCTGCTGCCACCCTGGTCTCCTGTCTCTTTCCTGGATTATCATAGCAGCCTCCCCGCTGGTCTCCTGCCTTCTGCGGGAAGTGTCTTTGTAAGTCCTGGAGTTTTTTCTCCTGCTATATCTCCTTTATTTTTCCAAAACTGCCATGCAAAATTTCTGTTTCTCTGCTATCCCTTTATTTTCTTTCCTGTTTGCAATGCTCCTGTCCCTTTTCAAAAAATAGTTATTAAGAATAATAAGCATATGTTCATATGTTCTTATTAAGAATAACTATTTTTTGAAAAGGGCAGGAGTGCTTCTAATTCCATTAAAGTTCAATGAAAAAAGGCTCAAAGATACCTAAAATGTATATAGAATTTCACCTATATTAGGACAGAACTCTCGATGCTGTGCTTGTCATCAAGCATTGCGTTGATTGAGGTGACAGATTTCATCTATTGCCTGAGGAATGAATCAGAGGTTTTGTCAACACCCTCCTAGACTGTGGAAAATAGGGACTGCTCCCCTGACGAAGGGTGTGCTCAGGCGATGTCTGGAGAGGAGGCGGAGATCAGGATTCAGACATCCCCCGTGGCTGTTGTCTGGCATCAGAGATGAGGTTACTCAGAGCCATTCTCTGAGGAGGACCGTCCACCCCACGCCCTAGGACATTAGGGTCTGCAGAGGCACTGAATGAAAACAGAGAGGATAAATGCAAAAGAAGCATGGGCTCTGCTCACACGTCTCAGTGGCAGAGTTGGGGCTCCCTTAGAAACATTCTGATCATGGCTGCAGCCACCATGGGACTTTGAGACTTGCCACCCCATCTGCCCAATACTATCAAAAGAACCCACAGTGAAAAGGCACAAGGCGATAGGCAGCTGATCCAGCAGAAGATCGGAGACAGCTGGTCATGGTAGCCAAGGGATCAATCACAGGAAGAGGAAGGACAGGGACCATTAATACCTGCTGAAGCTCTAAGCATCAAAAATGATACAGAGCTCTTTCCTCTACACAGAGTTAATGCTTAACTGTAAAACAAGTCTAAAAATGTCCAAGAAGTTCTGATTTTTTCCCCTATAATATCAAATAATTTGAAAAGAAAAAAATACAGTGCCTCCGACTTGATAGTACCTAAACATCCACACATTTGGTCTGCCTTTAGAATGACACAGTATCTCAAGGCAGAGAAGGCTCTCCTCATATAGCAACTTGCCTGGACATTTATTCAGATCAAGCTATCCCTTATTGACTGCCAGCTATATGCCCAGTGCCACATTCAGCAATTTTGCAGACCTCCTTTTCTAATCCTAACAACAATAGTTTTATGATGATTAGGAAGACAAATTTTTCTTTTTGAGATGGAGTCTCACTCCGTTGCCCAGGTTGGAGTGCAGTGGCATGATCTCAGCTCCCTGCAACCTCCACCTCCTGGGTTCAAATGATTCTCCTGCCTCAGTCTCCCGAGTAGCTGGGACTACAGGTACGTGCCACCACGCCTGGCTAATGTTTTGTACTTTTAGTAGAGACGGGGTTTCACTGTGTTAGCCAGGATGGTCTTGGTCTCCTGACCTCATGATCCACCCGCCTCGGCCTCCCAAAGTGCTGGGATTACAGGCGTGAGCCACTATGCCTGGCCTGAAATGATTTTTTTTCTATTCACCCAGCTTTTCTTGGTGGTAAAACTATGATTCAAATCCAGGTTATTTGGACACATATTCCATATTTTTCTCATTATGCTAAACAGATGCCTTATTTAGGATGGTGTGAGGTTGTGGAATTTTAGGTTATTGGAGTTTATCTATTAGATGTTTAGTTTTTCTGAAAGGCTTCCTTCTAATGTGTTATGGTCAGCTTGCTTACAAGTTAGGGAGTTTTGACAGCTCCCAAGTTGTCCAGTACAGAATTTTATCCAGGTTTCTGGGTATGAGCTTGAGCCAAAAGAAAACATGACACCTTGGAAAAGTGACCAGGGCCCTTTGTGTCTCAGGCACCTGTAAAATAGAACTTGCATTCTTGTTGGAGATACAGTATCATGCCCTATAAAACATCTTTTTTAGAGGCTGATACCATAAGACAATAAACAGAAGCATCAGTTTCTGGCTCCAGCAAAGATGTACTTGTCTGCCTCATTCTCCCCCTGCCCCCTCTCTCCCTGCCAGGAAGGAGGTTGTGTAGCACAATAATCCATCAAAGTTGTGCTGTCAATAATAGCAAAAGAAAATTTGTTAACCAGATGCTATCCTCTAAGGAATGCATCAATTCCATGAATATTTATTGAGCACCTTCTATGTCCCAGGAACTGGAAATGCAGTGGTGAACACGGGGATGGACAAGGTCCTGTTCTCACAAAGTTTTCCTTCTAGTAGGAGGAGAATGACAACAAACCACAAACAAATAATATTGAATAAGCAGTAACTGCTATAAACAATACAAAATAGTACAAGGAGCTCAAGAGTGATGGGGGTAAGGGCTGGTGCTCAAATTATATGGTCAGAGAAGGATTCTAAGTGTGGAAATGTGAGAATGGAGCCAGCCATGTGAGGACGCAGGGAGGAGCCTCCTGGGCAGAGGGGACCCAGGAGAGAAAGGCCAGTGCCCCAGAGGCAGGAACAAGCATGTTGCATTTGATGCAAGGGGGAGAAGGTCCACAGGGCTGCAGCCTGAAGAGTGCACAGAGGGTGCCACGAGTCACAGAGTTAGGAGGGGCCTGCTCACAAAGGACCTCGTAAACCAAGGTAAGGGTCAGATTTTATTCTAGGTGCACCTGAAAGCCACTGGAGAGTTTTAAGCTAGAAGTTGATTTACTGCTATAAAGACATTGCATTCTGGGAGGCAGGAACAGGAATAGAAAAGCTGTTTGGAAGGGACTGCAATGGCTCAAGGGGGATGACGGTGGCAATGGAGAAGGTGGTGAGATGTGAGTAGATGGAGATTAGATTTTGGAAGTCCTTGGCCTGCTCCTGCAGAAGCCTGTAGAAATCCAACCTCACCTATGTGGGATAGGGGCTGAGATAATGGTCTCTTGATTCTGACCACATAGGATGTCACGTGGGAAGCCTGCAAAATGCAACCTGAACCCAGGGTGAAGCAGAGGATCTTCACTAAAATGAGAGAATGAAGCCAAATGCACCAAATGAATCAAAATGAGAGAAGTTCCCACCTGGACTCTGCATGGTTAAAAGGAAATCTGATCCAAAAAGCAAAAACCTATTCAACTCAACATCTTTGTCTTCCTGATGAGTAAGAACTCCTCTATCAGTAAAAGCATTGATCGTTTGCTATTTAAATTGGAAATATTTTTATCCCTTTTGTTGTTGGCTTTTAGTTCTGTTTATTTTTTTTTTTTTTTTACTTATTAAAGGATTTTATTTTTCTATAATAAGCTCTAACTAGTCTTGGCCTTTATAGTTTCCACCTTTGCTTTTATACATAAAGAAGCATTTGACGTCCAATATTGTAAGTTACTGATCTATATTTCTTCTTATTTTTTAGCTTGAATCCATTCTATTTTTAAGCATGACATGCAATAATAACCTCATTTTATTTCATTTTTCCAAGCTACCAATCTCCCCAGGACCACTTGTTTTATTCTTTCTTTCAATAATTTGAAATGTATCTTTATCACATGCTAAATATTTTTTAAACTTGGGTGTAGCAGATTGTATTACTATGATCTTGCCAAATATTCCAGAGGCCTTCTCTGTGGTAGTTCTCCTGCAAGAGGATAAAACATGTCCTGCTGAACTCAGGTGTGGCCATATAGCTTGTGTTAGCCAATGGAATTCAAGCAGGAAGGACATATGTCACTTATGACCAGAAGCGTTAAGAGCCAGTGAGTGGTTTTCCATGTTTCTTTTTCCTCTGTAACAATACCACGAATGTTTCCAATAGATGCTGCTCCATTAGCCTAGGTCCCAGCAGGAAGGCAACGTGGAAGTGAGTTCAGCTGACCCATGACAAATATATAGCTTGGACAAAATATAGACCTTTGTTCCAGCAAACTGCTGAGATTCGAGAGACTTTGTTCTCACAGCATAACCTAGACTATCCTGATAAGGATGTGTTTCTCGCCTCTCTCTTATGTCTACTCTTGTTCTAGAAACACAGAGATGATTCTTAAATGCTACACCTTACCCACCTAAGACTAAAATATGCATAACCCCTAATCTGAAAGTCTTTGGAAAACAAATCAAAAAATAAATATACTCAAATCATTCCTTGCAAGGGTTTCCATGTTTGCTATTTTCTTCCTACATTCAGCCTTCCAGAATGCAGAGTGGCAACCTGTAGGGATTGAAAAGGAAGGAAGTACTTGGGAGGAAGTGGCATTAAAACTGTCTTGAACACATTCCATTTAAGGATTTTAGTGTGATCCTTTTTCCACTAAGACAAGAGTCCTGGTAATAGAATGGCTTCTCAGGCTGTTGCCTGCATCACCATTACAACTATGCCATTCTCTCTCTGTCACTTCCTTGGTTTGGGCCTGACTCGGAGCTCCACGTCAAGTGACAATATTTGGTCACCGGAAGTGGTGTGGGAAAGTGAAGAATGGAATTTACCTAGGGAAATGCTGAAAGGTAGTGAAGCAGGAAGCCAGTAAAAAAAAGTGCCATAATCCCATTTCTTTCGCCTGTCAATGCTGTTTATTTCTCATGCATGCGAGCATGGCTGGGCAGCCTGCTGCACCACAGTCCTTCTGTAAGGGAAAGCTCTCAAAGGTGGCATTGTGATTTAAATGACACTGGGTCAGAAACGATTAAATGCAAAAGCCAGGAGGGATTTTCAGAGGAAGCATCTTCTAAATGCTGTGCCTCCATCTGGAGGTGACTTGTCCAGCCCCAAAAGGGCAGAGTGTGACTCCCTGCAACAGCAACTCCGAGACACGGCACTGAAACCCTGGAGAAGGTTCAGGGTTGCATCTTCCCAACTTTGAAACTATCCTCATGGCCTTCCACTTAGCCAGTAATAAGAATGGATGGATTCTCATTAGAATCACATTTGTATGGACAAGACCTAATTCTGCTCCTCTGCCCAAGTTTTGACCTTGAGCAGCAGCCAACATTTGACTCGCTCTTGAGCTGGAAGCCATAGCAAACTGTACTGTTTCCAACAGCATTTCTACTCCAACTCCCCTCCACAACCACCTCCATGGCTCAGCAGAGATTCGCAGACATATAAATCAGAGTTGGCTTATTTTGCAGGGGGATGGAGAACTGGACGTCGCCCAGAGAAGTTACACCCAGAACAATTAGTCATCAGCAACAAACATTCCATACAGCACATCACAGAAGCAAGAACCTCCAAAGTCCAGTGCAGTTAAGAACAGAAGCAGCTGGAAAAATAGAAAAAGTTGGTAAAGAGTCTACCACAAGGCCAAACTTTGAAGAGTGAAATGAAGAAACTGAAAATTCTGTGTAGCTGTCATTGGAAGCCCTACTGTGAAAAAAGGTCACTCAAAAATGATATTGGATACAAGAAGAGAGCACCAGTGAATCAGCTGAAGGAAAGCAGAAAAACACAAAAACTGGACCAAACCAAAGATATTTACATCACGTCCTTAATGGGAAGAAATCCACTGCACATGGTAGTGGTTAGAGATTACTGTCACACTGAAGATACTGGTGAGTAAACTTGATATGGTTCTCGCTCCATAGCTTAGGTTCAATCATTCTGAGCTGATAAAAATATTTTCTCTTCATAAATTCTCAAATTAAGGCATCCTTTCGGGCTTTTTCCAGACAAGTATCTCAATTAGGTGGACCCCACTGCCAAGTGAAGGCAGAATTCACGTGCCCAGACTGGACAGCCCAGTTAAGCAGCAGTCCTTACAGAATTGCATCATAACAAGGCTTAGGCCTGTCTGAGCATGCTACAAGTTACACTTCACACCTATAACCTCCTTTCATCCTCACAATGCCTTTGTAAGGCAAGTAGGGTAGATATTTTACAGATAAGGAAACTGAGGCACAGTAAAGTCAGAGTTACAAAGCTGGCAAATGACAATGTTTTATCATGGAAACTGACTCTTGGGCCTTTTCTTCTAGCCCCTGCTGCCCTACTGGAAGACTTTTCCAGAAAGATGCTGTGAATACTTATTGCTCAAGTCCACAAAGAAAGACCTGTCTTAAACACTTTGGAGGATAGTTTCCTTGATTCTCTGGCATCTGACCTGAGTCCAGAGGTGGTCCCTCCACAGTCAAATCTAAATTGTGAGATCTTACTGGATCCTTGCCATGGATGATGGATCACCTGACCATTGGGTGGTCATCTGCCCCAATTTAACCCATATCACAAATAAAAAAAAATACTGAGAAATAGAGCATCATTGGAGCCAGGGGCAACTCTCTCAAGCAATTCTTCTTGAATGCAAATGAGATACTCCAGTATCCAATTAATATTTTTAAATTAAAGTTATTTTATTTATTTATTTTTGCTTAACTAACTAATCACTTTCTGCTACTTGCAACCAAATAACTGTAACTGATACAATCCAATTTTCTGTCAATCCCACTCTGAGTCTTGAACTTGCCGTTTCGTATGATACTTCTTGCCTTGCTTTTATCCAAATGCAGTTCTCTTTTCATTGATCATTTTCTCTGCTGCTTTCTTCCCTCAATTAACAATGGCAAAGTTGGAGTACTTTAATCTTGACCACATTTTCCTTGGACTCACCAGCTATTGACCTTCTCAGATGACCATGCAACAATTAGATGCTGGAGAGAAAAACCACACTTAGGTACTTAAGAGGGATGAATGGACTGGCCTAAAGCCAAAGGGATGGTGAAATTGCTATTAAATTAATAAACTTCTCAAATTGCCTCAGTTCCTCTGAGCACTAAGAAGGTACTAAAAGTCTGCCTCAAGCCCACCAGAACCAACCAATTGACTCATATTGCAGGTCAAGTCAGTTCAGTCTCCTTAAATCACCTCCCTTTTGACTACAGCTTGCAATTCATATAATAACCAATCAGCAGGCTGGTAGGTAAAATAACACCCAGAAGAAGAGTATTATGAGATCCAAACTTCAAGTAGAGTTATAACATAAAATAAAAATTCTCACTGTGAATGTTAGTGCTGTCTTTGCTTGAACTGAGAGAGAAAACGAAGACCCTTCTGGCTGTTCTTCTACTTGATAAGACTGAGAGCAGTGGCTATAAATTAGGAAGTAACAAATAGTGCTGGGAGGCAGCATTTGCATTGCCCTGGTTCCTCCTGGTAGCTTTATTGACTGCTCAGCAGGATAATGGGAAAAGCAGATCTATTATGGACACTGGTGAAGGCAAATGATTTGCACAAGTGCCTAAAGCACTTCATGTGCAGCCTTCTCATCTCCAGGTAATAGCAAGCATGGATAACCAACAGTGTGTTTTAAGAGCCTCTAGTGTCTACATCAGCATGGCTAAAGGTGCTCTTAATTGCTTTTCTATTAAGATGCATTAAATTAACTTTACCAAAAAATATTGCTTACTTAGTTCAATGAGGGAAAATTAAATTTAGATTTAGAGTCGAGGTACAGATGCAAAATAAGCACTAAAACCTTCACATTTTTACCATAACATATGGGCAAAGCAAAATGCAAATGTCTTTGTAATTCCTGATTTGAATATAAGTACTATTGTGTCTGACACCAACACTTTTTACTTTTTCAGTATGATATTTGGGGGGGAAAGATGCAAGAGTGAAGGACATAGAGTGTATTTGGACTCTCAATCATTAGTTGCCTCAGATAGGTCAACCACCCCATTTAGAATGAGCCAGTATCAAAGTCAACCAGATAAGGCTGGATCTTATCCTTACCCTTATATATTCTGAGTCAGATATATTTAGATCCCCAGAAAGAGCACTAAACTGGGAGTCCTAAGACTCAGGTCCCTCAGGCTTAGTCAAACACTATTTCCTATGTGAGCCTAGAAGATAAAGGATTCCGAGTCTAGGCGATCTCTAGATTTCCGTCCAAGTCTATATAATGCTTACGAAGGATGATTTTCTTTTTTATTCTTATTATCCTAAAATTTAGATTTTAATTCCACAAGTTCCATGCGAAATCTGAACATGATATACTCTTATTTATCTAGAATCTAAACACCCAAAAAGTTCAATAATCAGACTAGTTTTTGTTAAACTATATAATTTTCAAAATATGGGCACCATGTTGTACAAATCCTAAATTACCTTCAGAATCATAAAGATTAATTTCTGTTCAGTTTGGTTTTATGAAGTATGCTGTATTTTAATCCTATTCCAGAGACATCTCAGGAAATGAGAAACAAGTCTGAGTCGTTCAGAAAAGACTAAACATCCTCCGTTGTTCCACCAGAGTCTCTAAACCTCAATAATGAGGCTGTGGTTTGCATTGATTCCTTTTTCCTTGTAAGTAAATCTTCTTTCATTTGCACTTGCCTCATTTCCATCAGTTATTCTTGGCATCCAGAAAAGGCGAACTGATTTGATTTTTTTTAACTAAAATCAGAATCCTGCCAGACCAGCTAACATAAAGAAAAGAGTCACAGACAGCTTTGGATCTTGAAAGGACTGACCCAACTTGGGTGAAAATTCCAAAATCATATTAGAGGAAACATCTTTTGTTTTCTAATAGAGAGCTGAGTGTGACCAAGAGATGTTTGTCTCTTCCTAGAAAGAACACAGTTGCTCTAAAGATGCTCGGTGTGCATGTGCTCCCCAAGGGTAAGACACTGTCCCACCTTCAAGGCCATGCAGTCCCTCTGGGGAGATAGGCAAGTCCACACCTGGCAAAGCCCTGGCTCAGCTCACCAGAGAGAAGAGACCTCACAGCCTGGGTGGGGCTGAGGTAGGGGCAGTGCCCAGAGGAGGAGCCTTCTGAGCACCATTTGCTTCAGGGAAAATTTCAGATGGTGTTTACTTTTTCCTTTCATTCTTTTTCTTTTTTAAAGCATTGTATAATAGTGACTAAGACCATCAGACTCTAGAGCCAGACAGGCTGAGCCTAAATCCTGGCTTAGCCACATAATAGCTGAGTGACCCCAGGCAAGTTATTTAACCTCTCTGTGCCTCACTTTCCCCATTGTAAATGGAGATAATAATAGTACCTGTGTATTAGTCTGTTCTCATGCTGCTAATAAAGACATTACCAATACTGGGAAATTTATGAAGGAAAGAGATTTAATGGACTCAAGAGTTCCACATGGCTGGGGAGGCCTCACAATCATGGCAGAAGGCAAAGGAAGAGCAAAGTTACATCTTACATGGTGGCAGGCAAGAAAGCTCGTGCAGGAGAACTCCCCTTTATCAAACCATCAGATCTTGTGAGACTTATTCAGTACCACCAGAACAGCATGGAAAAAACCCACCCCCATGATTCAATTACTTCCCACCAGGTCCCTCCCATGACATGTGGGGATTATGGGAGCTACAATTCAAGATGAGATTTGGGTGGGGCACAGCCAAACTATATCAACCTGTTTTCTAGGGTTGTTAGATTAAAGTGCTTAGACCAGTGTCTGGCACATAGTAAAGGCTGGTTACAGATTCTTATTCATCTTCAGTATTTTAGGTTTTAATGTCTTGCCCATTTAAAGGTCAGGGTTTTGATGACTTCAGTGCTCTTGGACATGACAAAGAATGTGACATGAATAGGGTGAATAGGAAGGGTCTCTGAAGAATCAGTTTGTTTCCAAGCAACGTGGCTCCAACTTACCTTACCTACCTCTCTGCTCCCAGCTCTCTCAAGTGTACCCACCCCCAGCCTGCCCCTCTCCTCCTGCCCTTCTTTCCAACCCCAGCCCCACATTCTTTCAGGATTGTGGCCAACTTCTACCTGCCCATTATAGACCTCCCTGATCTCACCAGGCTGCATTGCTGCATTGCCCGCTCTTTGGGGTGCTCCTGAGAGGCACTTTACCCCCTGAAGACACTTTTTACATACCACTTAGTATTATAGTCAGTACTTTAGTACTTTTTAAAATCTAGCCTTACTGGATTATAAATTCCTTGAAGGCAAGGCTGTGTCTCAATCCTTTTGGTAATTCCCACTGTTCTGAGTACAATGACCTTCACATGGTCAGTCCTGAACTTGTTTCCTAAATGAATGTACACATTAAAAGCAAAAAAAGAAAAAAAAAATGCAAAAATTTGCAGTGAATTGGAGAGTGGGTTTTGGAATTGGACTGACTTTAATTCTGGCTCTGTCAATTTTTGCTGTAGAACCTTTGGAAGTAATTCAGTTTCTCATCTCCTCATCAGTAAAGTGGAGATAACCATATGTATTAGTCCATTTTCACATGGCTATAAAGGACTGCCTGAGACTGGGTAATTTATAAAGAAAGAAGGTCTAATGGACTCACAGTTCCACATGGCTGGGGAGGCCTCAGGAAGCTTACAATCATGGAGGAAGGTGAAGGGGAAGCAAGGACCTTCTTCACATGGCAGCAGGAGAGAGGGAGTGGGGAACTGCCAAACACTTTTAAACCATCAGATCTCATGAAAACTCACTCACTACCATGGAAACAGCATGGGGGAAACTGCCCACACGATCCAATCACCCCTCACCAGGCCCCTCTCTTGATACGTGGGGATTACAATTCTACATGAGATTTGACTGGAGACACAGAGCAAAACCATGTTACAGGAGTACCTCAATTTTACAGTTACTGTAGGAATAAATGAGATGATGTGTGTAAAGGACCTGAAAAAGCACCTGGCATTTAGTAAGAGTTCAATAACTGTAAACCTTAGTTGATGCTGTTGTCTCATTACCTTCCACATTATTATGATTAGTCTGGGGCAGTTTTGTTTATAGGGAAACATCCCTCCACCTGCCAATGACCCCTAAGGAGAAAGATGTATTTAATGCTGAACAGACTTTAAGGGTAAAAATTATAATCCTGAGTTAGTAAAAATTATAAATATACTTAGCATATTCTGCTTAAGAATTCAAGGAGGTAAGTTTGGTATTTTAGAAACCAAACTTGTCCATCAAACAAACATTTTAAAATGTCAGACTTCAGAAAAGTTCCCATCTATGAGTCATTTTGTCCCTAGCCAGATGGTAATATGACCTATAGTTCACCTGTCTGAAGGTGTGGTAAAAGTCACCTGATGGTAAACACTATTTCCCCCCAATACGGTGAGGAGAAAACAAGGCACAGAGAAACATTTGCCTCCAAGATAATAGAATTAGTAGCAAAGCCTATCCAAAAAAATCATTCATTCTCAAAGTTCCATCCAAATACCAAATGCAGAAACAAATCTCATTCAGCTATTTAAGTATAACTTTTAGTAAAAGGACATATCATTAAACTGAACTTTTAAAAATTCAAATCTAAAACCAAGTATGATGATGTGACTCAAATTATACAGCATTTTGGTCCACTTGCTTGTTGAAAGAACTTCACGTGTTCTATTAATCAGAGCTCAGTCAGAAGCCAGAAACCACCAGTTATTTATTATTATTATTGTTATTATTATTTTGAGACGGAGTCTTGCTCTGTCGCCCAGGCTGGAGTGCAGTGGCACAATCTCAGCTCACTGCAAGCTCCGCCTCCCAGGTTCACGCCGTTTTCCTGCCTCAGCCTCCCAAGTAGCTGGGACTACAGGCACCCGCCACCATGCCCGGCTAATTTTTTGTATTTTTAGTAGAGACGGGGTTTCGCCATGTTAGCCAGCATGGTCTCAATCTCCTGACCTCGTGATCTGCCTGCCTCGGCCTCCCAAGGTGCTGGGATTACAGACGTGAGCCACCGCACCCGGCCGCCACCAGTTATTTTAACAGAGAGAAGATAACAAAAATTGTTAACTAAGGTATTGAAAAAACAAAATACATACAGAAAGAGAAGTTAGCAGGAAGCTAGCAGGTGCAGGAAGCAGCTACCAATCCTAGGAGGAACAGAGAGAAGAAATCAGATTTATGAAAACTTAGAAGCTCGGCATTGAGGCACCATGGACTGAAACTCATACCCCTCGGAAGGGGCAGCTGTTTGGCTGGCACTGGTTCCTTTGAGATTGGAGGATGAGCTCCATGGGCCCAAGAGGTCCCCCAAGACCCTGAAAAAAAGATATCAACTGACTCCTGCTGGCATATCTAAAGGATGTGAGGAGGCTGATTCCATGAGTGCTAGAAAACTGAAACCTGGATTCAACCGCTGCTACTGAATGGAACTGTTTTGAATGTGGGAGGAAGAAGCTTTGCGAGAGCTGTAGGACAAGAACGCGAAACAAAAGGAAAGAAGGAAGACCCTTTGCCCTTGGCCTGCCCTACAATCTGCAGCCATGCAGTGGCAGAGGTAGACTAAGGAACCAGGTGGCAAAGCACAACAGTACGCTGCAGAGTCAAGCTTGTTGACATCACATAGTAGTGAAGAAAAAAGCGAGCTGGAGGCTCAGAGACAGTAGCTTAACTGGCACAAGTGTCTAGAGGAGGGGAACTTTAAAATATTTTGTTTTGCTTTATTTTTATTTATACCCAATCTAGTGATCTGTCTCTTATAGTTTACTTGGCTCCTATTTGCATATTTTCTATCATAATTGAGGTAAGAAAATTGTCTTACCAATCCAAACATATGTTTTTATTAGACTTTTAGGTTAAAATTACAGGTTTTTAAAAAGTGTAACATCATATTTTCTTTTTCGCCCTGAAACCCAACAAAAGTATGATTTGTCCACTCTACTTATTTTCAGAAATGCTATTTATCTTTGAGAAAAGCCTATATGAATCTGTAATTTTAAAAGATGTGTGAAAGATAATACTAAGAGCATAACGTACCCTATATCAGTAAATAATTATATTTAGTAACTTTAATGATGGGAATTGCTCATGGAATCCACATATCACTGGGAAACTCTCAGTGCTTTTGTTATTATCTTAGAATTGTTGCAAAGAATAAATTGTCCAATACTGGAAATCCCTAATACGATCTGTTAAAGCTTGTCCATTTTACTCAAAAGTAACATTGAGATTCAAGGGAGACAAAATCTAAGATATTTGCCCAAAGAATAGAACTTCTGTTCATTTAGCTCAATTCCCAAAGTATTCTTAGGATGCTATTGCATGTCTGTTACTGAACATAACTTTGAAGGTTAAGGCTACAACAAGGTCTCTGATTCAAGGAGCCAACAGTCTAATGGAAAAGATGTTCCTAACACATATAAAAAGGTTTTGAGTCTGAGATAAGTAGCTGATCACCAGAATCCCCTCTCCTCTTCCTCACTGCAGCGGGGAATTGGAAGCCCCATGGCACCACATTCTCAGCCTCCCTTGAAGCAGCCTGTGGCCCTGTGATAAACTTCTCCCAATGGACAGTGACAGGGTCAATGCATCTGGGTCATAAAACATCCCACATATGCACCTTCACATTCCTGCCCATCCCTCAGGGTAAAATGGCAGACAATGAATAGAGTGACACTGGAAGCCACTGGTCGAGGACAGAAGAGCAGACATCACCCTGAATTTATAAAGGACTGTCCTTACCACCTTCCCCTGCCCACAACCTGGAACTTCTTCCCTGGACTATAACTTGAGAAACAAACTTCTGTTCCATTTAACCTAATAGGCTTTTGGTCTATTAGTTATAGGAGTTTTGTTATAGTTGAAAACCAGTATATTGTTTAGGAGGATATAAAGTAGTTGGGTTAGAGTTCACAGAAAAGATAAAACCTAATCTGGGTCTTAATTAATAACAACCACAATTAATTTAGAGTCTGAATGTGCCAGGAACTACACCAGGAAGTGATACAAATTTTCTCACTGCATTGTCATGACAGCTCTTTGCATTAAGTGTCATTAAACCCTACTTTGCAGATGAAAAACAACCTTCAGGGTGGTTGGGTAATTTCCCCTAAGTTACACAGCTAATAAATGGTAGGCTCATAATCTGAACACAGGAATTTCTGCCTCCAAAGCTTGTGCACAGAGAACATTGCAGGCTGCTGGGGGATTGTGTGAGGAAAGGAGTGGAAGTATGTGTTATCATGGCAGGTGGGGGTTGGGAGTGGCAGTAGCTGTGGGACCTTTCCAGTGACAGTGTTATAAAAAAAGAGTTCCCTTCACTGTCCCCTTATTCAACCCAGTCTTGACTTCTGAAATCTGCAGTGCACTGCTCTTTTCTCTAGCCATGTGACAGCAATGAGAAAGGCTAGAATAAATTATCAACGTATTTAGAGATTACAGGGAAACCAAAAGCCCAGGCTTTACCCACCATCAACCCCACCCCGGAGCAGGAGCCCAGCTTAACTGAGAGAGAACTGGACTAAATAGAGGTCAAAGGGCAATCAAATGGGTGATCCTGCCTACGTAAGAGGAGCCTAGAGGAGAATTGGAAAGGTGAGGGGCAGGGTTCCTGGCCAAGAAACAGATAGAGAAGCCCAAATAAAGGCAAATACACATTAGTCAAGATTCCCAACCATTTGCATAGGTAATCAAGAGTGAACTCTAAGCCATTTGGTTTTGTTTGGATGGCCCTAGAGGAATTCCAGGCAAACAAACAAATGTAAGTCTGGGGATCTCTAAATAAAACCACCTGCAAGAGCTACCAGGCCTTGGGAAACAATGTAGAGTTTTGAATAGAGGAAGTAGACATCGACGGGGGTGGCGGGGAGAGGCATGTACATCATTTCCAATGTTATCTTGGAGCTGACATGTTTAAAGTGTTAGAACTAGTCCTTTTTTTCAATGGAGAATATTTTTAAGTCATTTATATCACAGACGGTTCAGCGGCTCTGATTGGCATGCAACAGCTAAATAGAGCCTTCTGTTCAGCCTGCTGTATTCCAAGACACCCCCACACTCTGTCCTCCTAAAGCCCATCCCAGAGGCCTGCAGTTCTCCTTCACCAACAGCAACAGCCAGCAGCCCGAAAGGTTAAGGCTACTCAAACCAAGAATGCCAGATGCTTTTGCTGCAGAGGCATAACAACAACAGAAACTGTGGATGTTATGAGTGCTGTTTGCCAAAGATGCTTGATGTCTGCCTTCCAGGCACAAGGTGGATTGCACCTCCTGGCCTCCGGGTGATTGAGTGTGGCCATGTAACTAATTCTGGCCAATGAATTAGGAGCAGAGTTGCAGTGCCACTTCCAGCCAGGAGCACTTAATTGCTATGGCAAGACCGTCCAGAGTTATCTTTACTTCTGCTGCAGCAACTGGCAGCGTTTGAAACGACTACTCTTCGAGGGACATGTAGCTTGAGCAAGAAATAAACCATTATTCTTTCAAGTCACTGGGATTTTGCAGTTGTTTGTAATGACCTTGCCTTTTGTGACAGATAACAACAATTAACTTTCATCCAGTGCTCTTTTCCAAGCACTTTATATACATCAATTTAATTCTATCAATAACCCTTTGAGATAGCTACTAGATGAAGACATTGAGGCGGAAAGGAGTTACGTAAATTGCCTAAGATGGCATAGTTAATACAGAAGGTAAAACTAGATTCAGGTGCAGGAAGCCTGTCTCCAGGGCCTGAGATTTAACACTGAGCTGTGCTGCCTCTTGAATAGTATCATGCATTTTAATATGATCACTGTGACAGGCTTTAATAAAATTGCTCATCATCAGAAACATACACATCGGAAACTAGTAAAAACATATCATCATATCAAAGTCACCATAGGCTACCATCAAGTTTAACTCTTGTTTACAGTTAATTGCAACTTTTTTACAAGGAAGAAAAAAATGGCATTTGAAATAATTGCACCCTAGATGTCATTACTTGAGTCACTAAGTTGCATGACAATTTTTAAAAGGTAATAGCTCACACATGAAATAAATAATGCTTAATCCTATAAGCTGTATTTTCTGCAAGATCTGGGTCTACACTCTTGAAACTGCTCTCCCTGGTTTAGAATTATACCTAAACAAATAAGCAAACAAAAACAGGAACTGGAAACATTATCTATTTAGCATGTTTCATTGTAGATTAAACAGATTTTATTCCCTGTTTCCTGGTAATTATATATAATTAAAAAGCACAGAGGAATGTGCATAAAAGCACAATGAAGTAATAATCATGTGAACGGTGTCTTATTTTAACTCACCGCTGAGGGGAAGTTGCTTTTATTCAGATTAATTTGTGAAAGGGCTGATGAGAACAAGACAGAGTGAGACAGAAGGGAACGTGTTCTTTCAAATTGCTCTGCTCAGAAAACACGGTTAATGAAATACATCTAATTGCACAAATGCTTCAGAAGGCATTATTACTGAGTACACCTTAAAGGTTATGCTCTCATGTAACAGTTTTTTCTTTAGGAGAAAAACTCTCCTATTTTTCAGAACCTGTGCTGGAATCGGATGGACTCAGCTCAGTGTTTTATAGCAAGGCCTAGCTTAGTAGTGATAACGCTCCGGGGCTGAGTTCAGACTCTTCGTGTAGGCATCAGCTTCAGTACCATGCTGCACCTCACGTGTATGGATTCCCCAGAACAAAGACAAGTATGGAAATGTTGACTCTGCCAATTAGGTCATTTATTTATTTAAAAGCAATGTAGGGGACATCTCCTGCACATACGGTGTTGAGTTTGATGCTAAGGGCATGCACACTAGAAGCACATTAACACCCACTGAAAGCTTACTCCACATTAGGCACAGTGCTAAGCACTTGTACTACATCAGTGAATCCTGACAACAACTCCTAAGAGGTCGGTGCCATTATTATCAGTATTTTTGGATCAGGCAGGAGACTAAGGCTTATGCTAACACATCTAGAATGTATATAGTGATTTAAGTGTTCACAGAGAAAATAAAGCATGGGAGGAGAGTAGGAAGTGCTGGGATGATTATGGCCATTTCAAATAGTGTAGCTAGAGAAGGCCTCACTAAAAAGTAATGTGAATAAAGACCTAAAAGAATTGAGGAGAAAGCCTCAGAGATCTCTGAAGGAACAGCATTGCAGGCAGAGACAAGAATGCATAAATTCAAAGACCTTGAGGTGGGAAAATGTGAAAGGCACAGTAAGGAGATCTTGCAGCTGGAGCGGAGAAGTCAAGTCATAGGGAATCCATGAAAGCAGAAGGGGTGGGGCCATGCGGCTTGTTGAAGGACTATTGCTTTTACTCTAAGTGATAGGGGAGGTCCTCAGAGCATTTTCAGCAGAGGAGGATCATGATCTGAGGACAGCAGAATCACCCTAGCCGCTGCATTGAGAATACAGTCATCCCTCAGTATCTGTGGGGGACTGGTTCTAGGATCCCCCTCAGATAACAAAATCCACAGATGCTCAACCCTTTATATAAAATGCATAGTATCTGCAGGTAACCTATACACATCCTCCCTTATACCTTACATCATCTCTAGATTACTTACAATACCTAATACAATGTAAATGCTGTGTAAATAATAGTTACATTTTATTGTTTAGAGTATAAGGACCATGAAATGAAATCTGCCCATGTTCAGTACTGGTGCAACTATCCATTTTCTCCCCAATATTTTCTATCTGGCAGTTGGTTGAATCTGCCCATGCAGGGAAGATGGGCCGACTGTAGACTGAAGGGCAGCAAAGGAAAAGCAGGGAGACTAGTTAGGAAGCCATTGCCATCAACCAGGCAAAAGCGATACAGGTCTGTCCCAGGCTGGCAGCAGTGGCCGTGTAAAGGAAAGGCCAGGTCCTGGATACATCTAATCTTAAAGGTGGAAACGGCAGGATTTGTCACAGATCATATTTGGAGGGTCAGAGCAAGACTGGGGTCAATGATGGCCCCAGGCCTTTGGTCTGGCAACTAGAAGCATGGAGTAGTCTTACTGACACGGAGAGGACAAAGCACAGCACCCTTGGAAGCCCATGTTGAGGCATTTAAGTCTTAAATACCCATTAGACAACCAAAGGGAAATGTCAGAGATGAACAGTCCTGAGATAAAGAGAGCAGAGCTAGAAATAACATTTGAGTGTCGTTTGCATAGAGATGGCATTTAAATCTGAGGGAATGAAAGAGACCACCAGGGAGCTGAGTGTAGAGAAAAGAAGATGCCCAAAGGCTGAATCTTAGGTCACGTCAACCTTTCAAGATTAGAAGATGAAGAGGAACCAGCAAAGAGGATGAGGGAGCAGCTACAGAGACAAAAAGAAAACCGCAAGAGTCCAGACCACTGACCTGGGAGCCGACTAGCCTGGAGAAAAATGACATTATTCCAGCTCTGCTACTTCAGTGGTGCTTTGAAATAAAATGAGAAGACAAATGTGAAATCCTTTGATAAAGTTAAAAATCATTCTATGTCTCCAAGAATCTCAAGAACTTCCCAAGTGTGTACACAAACTAAGTATATTGATTTTTTAAAAAATAAATGTATACACATTTATTATATTGATTTAAAATGTATGAGTTTAAACAAATCAATCAAACCAAAACATATGAAGTAGAGGTCTACAAATAATAATACATTTCAAAATACTGAAGTTATAAAGCCCACCAAGTTTCTTAAACACTGTTGAGTTTCCCTGCATTCTCCAGCCATTTGATTAATCTTTCAGTGCCTGTGGCAACTTAAAGAAAAATATTTGCCTTTCACGGTCAGTATCATCCCAGGATTTAACCTACTGTCTGCCTACAAGCTCTGGAGAATTAGAAACCAAGAATGAGACTGCATACCCATTACCCCTTACGACCGTGATGTCTTGAATCTAGTGACTCTTAACCTTGCATGATATCTTTTATATATTTAAGACTTCTATTTTTAGAATCATGATATTTATGTCTATTGAACTTAGAACTTATATTATTCTAAGAGTTCTTAGGTAATGATGATGACA
Organism: Homo sapiens; assembly: GCF_000001405.40. Taxonomy (NCBI): domain Eukaryota; kingdom Metazoa; phylum Chordata; class Mammalia; order Primates; family Hominidae; genus Homo; species Homo sapiens. The sequence goes on along the minus strand of NC_000012.12, from coordinate 67,521,374 downwards.
GACATTCATTCACTTACTCCACAAAAATACTAGAGAGGCAACCTAAGGCAGTCATTCAGAGAATGGACTCTAGAGTCACTTAACAGTTTCTCCATCTATAAAATAGAGACAAACATAGGACTTACCTCCTAGGCTTGTTGCAAGGATTAAATGAATTAATATTCATAAAGCTTTCAGGATGGTGTCTGGCAACATGGTTAGTGCTCTAGGAGGGCTCACTACATAAGAGGAGATATTTAGTGGATGCCCACTGTGTACTTGATACTGTCCTAAGCACTGAAGATACTGTGGAAAACAAGACCCATACATGTGAAGGTGGGGACAGAAAATAGACAAGGAAATAAATGACATAATCCTAGAGTATTAAAGTATTAAACAAAGACATGCAACAGAGTGATTAGGAGCAGAGAGAGTTGGGGAAAAGCCTTTCTCTGAGAAGAGGCAATTTGAACACTGGGACCAGAGCACCCAAAAGCCACCAGGCATGTGAGGACTCAGTTAGAGGATTCCCAGCAGAGAAAACCACAAAAGCAAAGAGATACAGCCATGAAGCCAAAATAGCCCACTTGATCTCAGAAAATAAACCATCCAATTTAATGTGGGGAAGGCATATGAGTCAGACAGGCAAAGCCAAATTAAGCCATTCAGGAATCAGGCAAGGAACATATATCCAGGCGGGACCTCTTCACACTTGATGCCACAATGCAACGATACGTTTTAAATTCCAATGGAATTAATCTGCAAATTTTAATGGCAGGATTCAGGAGTAGGCCCCTTCTTTCACCGACTTACCCGTCTCCTCATTAATATTTCATATAATCTTCTTCATACTGTCTTGGAAGCAAGCAAGACAACAGACAGGGAATATTTCCCCCTATATGAAATGTTTTTGCTACATTATTTTGTCATACCAGGTGTCAACCACCTGGTCTACTGCCAAATCCACTGTACTATCTTAAAGGGTCCATCCTCATCAGGTTATTTTCATAAGCAAATAAATACATCATAAATGACAAATGCTAGGTTTTCTCTAAAGGAAAAAAAAAATCATTTATCTCTAGCCCTGGTCCCAGTCAGTATTTTGCCCACTTATTTTGTCTTATTTTGCCCACTTAGACCTGCTGCTTCAAGTCCTTTCTGCCATTGCTGAAGAAATGACATGAATTCAGACAAAGGAATTACCTGGTCCAATTGTGTCTATCTGAGACAGTCCTCAAATGCTAAGTTAACAGCCATCTAGGATCACACAGCTAAGGAAGGCTTCCCGCCGCTGCCTCCCCTGCCTTTCCTGCTGAGCCTGATGGATGAGCTTTTGTCTTTCTGGCATCCCAAGCCCTTCGCTTTGTTTCACTTTTGACAGCTATGCACCTTGCGGAGAAGCCAGCCAGGTTTGGAAACCAGTTTGGTCCTGACAGACCTGCACAGCGGGAACTCACCTATATATGCAGTGATCTGGGGCAGTGCCTGCCTGGGCACTAGAAAGTCAGACCAGGTTCCCAGAGAGCCCTAAAGGCAACCAGTCTAAACAGATACATCAATCTGCTCACTAAAGAATAAAGCTGGCTCTCCCAATATAATTACAGGCTGGCTGATTTATTATTCCAATCTTTAGTGCGTGGCAAGGTTAGTGTTATTTGTGCCAGTTTATGGTATTGGGCCAAAACATGAAATATCAAGTTAATATGATTGGTTCCAAGAATGGATTTGCACAGAGACAGCTCCTGCTTATGCCAATGTGTGTGCAGGGATTACACCACGTGACAAAGCCCTTTTGAGAAGAAAATGACAATTCTTCATATATTCAGAATGATTTAATAGCTGGCAAGCTACTGCCAATCACCTGGGCTACTGCCAGATCTACTGAAATATCTTAAAGGGTCCATCCTCATTAGGTTATTTTCATAAGCAAATAAATACACCATAAATGACAAACGCTAGGCTTTCTCTAAAGGGAAAAAACCAATCATTTATCTCTAACTCTGGTCTCAGTCAGTATAAACATGCTAAACCCCACATGGGAGAAGAACACTTTGTAAGAAGTTGTGGAAGGCCACGTGAGATCATGGTCCAAGGACACTGGCTTTGGAATGGCAGAGACCAGGATTCGAATCACAGCTCCTTCACCTGACAGCTCCATGTTCTTCATCACATTTCATAACCTCTACAAACCTCGGCTACCTCATCTGAGAAATGGGAATGATATGTTGTTACAGGGGGTAAGTGGCTCCAGCTCAGTTACCTGGTATAAGTGAGGCATTCAATAAATCAGTGTTTCTCAAAATGACAGGAGTGTGATGATAAGTCTTCTAGGTTTGGAAGTTCTCTGTGGAACATTATTACATTTCTGTTTACCTTTCAATCAATTTAAAAATTAATATAGCCATATTACGGATCAGCTGAAAGATCTATTTGGATTCAGTTTGGGAACTCAATTCATAATCTGTGTTTATGATTACAATTGGTACCAGATGGTACTACTTGAAGTGTCATGAGCTAGAGAAAATAGAAGGAAATCAGAGTTGATATAAAGGAAGTGTTTATGCCAAGTGAAAGCCCAGGATGCCTTCAGGTTGTGCACATAAATGTCCTAAGAGTTTAGAACAGAGAAAAGTGGTATAGGAACTGAGTGAGCTCACAGCACTGGTCCTACTGGCACCAAGAAGGCAACATATCTGCACCATAGCAATGAGCAACAGTTAAATTCACTAAACAATGCTTGTCACATTTCATCAATATATAATTGTGAATTTTATTGGTTTTGTTGCTTTTTTTTTTTTTTTTTTTTTTTGAGAAGGAGTCTCGCTGTTGCCAGGCTGGACTGCAGTGGCACGATCTCGGCTCACTGCAATCTTCACCTCCTGGGTTCAAGCGATTCTCCTGCCTCAGCCTCCCGAGTAGCTGGGTCTACAGGCACACACCACCACGCCCAGCTAATTTTTGTATTTTTAGCAGAGACGGGGTTTCACCATGTTGGCCAGGATCATCTTGATCTCTTGACCTCGTGATCCACCCACCTCAGCCTCCCTGTTGTCTTATTTTTAACATATAAAATTGTTTTGATGTTGTGGTTTGCAAGTAATAAAGCATTTGTTTTTAGGCCTTATAAAAAAGGAGAGACAGATGTAGATATATAACATATAGATGTACATCTTTATGTTATAAAGTACTTGTTTTAGGTCCTGTATATTTAAGTAAAGATAAAAACAATTTTTACCGGTAGATGTTCATGCAAATTTTTTTCTATAGAATGAGTTCATAGATTATTCAATTTTCAGAAACCCAGCAATAACTGGTCACTGTTAGTGTAATTATTATGAAGGAAAGGATATTCCTTAAGGAATAAATGGTCATATTATTTTGAGTGTAAAAGCAGGCTATAATATTTGCATATACATTATATACACTGTTGAAAAATTATGTCCAGAAAAAATGACAACAATATAAAGGAATATACTGAATAATAGTTGTTACACATGGGTGATAAAACTGAGTGGTTTTTTTTTGCTATTTTAACTTGGCTTTAACAGACACAAATTTTATAATTCTAAAACACATGTCTAGGGTGTAAGGAGAGTGAGAGTGTAACTTGCAACTGAACCAAGCCGATTCCAGACTCGCAACTGCTGGGCTGGGGAAGCCCTGACATCCTAGCACTCACATCTCCGCGGCCTCAGTCCCTGGTTTCAAAAGGCTCCTACCCTGAACACTTCAGATCCCAAAATACTCCCCTGGTACCTCCAACAGATGTGATTTATAAGGCAAGTTTCTGTCTTAAAACACTTTTCCGGGAACCCTGATTCTTGTTGGTACTGGGGAGTTCCAGGAACGCTCTGTGCGGCCGTGAAGGTGGTCACCTCTGTGGTCTTCCCCCTTGGCAGTTCTCCACGGCCACCCTTGGCAAACGGTGCAATGGGGCTCTGTTGGTTTTCTTGTCTCTCTAGCACAGCACCTTTTTTGGCCGCCTCTTCCTTTTTTCTGGCATTCTTCCCCAAGCCTTAGTCATGGCACCACGCCCGAGCCAGACCTTCTGTGGCTGGGCTTCCGATGTTGTCTGCCACCCCTCAATACTTTCCTTGGATGACGTGATGGGAAACACCTACCTGTGCCAGCTGCACTCTTTAAGTGACTAAGGCTAATCTGGTTGCACAAGACATATTACACACGTACACACACACATACATATTATACATTACATACACACACAGGCACACACATTTTAGTACTCAGCCTACCCTAAACCATATAAATCTGTATCTTTGGAGGTGAGCCCTGGCACTGGCATTTTTAAAAGTTCCCCAGGTGATTCTAATGTACAGCCAAGGCTGCGAACTGTCAGGTCAATCGCAGCATCCTGGAGGCCTGAGAACGCACACTCTGAAACCAACGACCTGGAATTAAATCCTGGCTCTACCACAAACCTGCTAGCTGCATAACCTTGGGCAGTTTAATTCACCCTGTTCCCTCTGTTTCCTTATTTGTAAAGTAGAGAGGATGCTGATAACAATATCTACCCATAGTGTTGATGTGAGGATTAGATAAGACAATACATACTTAGAAGAGCCTAGCGCGGTGGGGCACAGTGGCTCACGCCTGTAATCCCAGCACTTTGGGAGGCCAAGGCAGGCAGATTGCTTGAGGTCAGGAGTTCGAGACCAGCCTGACCAACATGGTGAAACCCCACCTCTACTAAAAATACAAAAATTAGCCAGGTATGGTGGAATGTGCCTGTAATCCCAGTTACTCGGGAGGCTGAGGCAGGGGAATTGCTTGAACTCTGGAGGTGGAGGTTGTAGTGAGCCGAGATCGCACCACTGCACTCCAGTCTGGGTGACAGAGTGAGACTCTGTCTCAAAAATAAAAAAAATAAAGAATAGCCTAGCACAGAGCTCCATACAGACTGCTTCCTCTCTCTTATTGGTAATTATTTTTACTCAGCATCGTATAGTCACCTGGTTCAGGAAGAACACCAGGGTGGCAGCTTCAGGAATATAGAACAGGAGATTTCCTCTCAGGGCAGACTTTGTAAAGGTCTTGTTTCCCCCGAAACAAGATCCTATGAAAGATGTCCTGTCCTAAATGTGACCGTTGCTGCTCCCCAGTCCCTAGCAGGTGCTGCAGCTGAGGACACCCGGGGAGTGTCTGCTGCATCATCATCAGTGTGTGCATTTCAGCAACACTTGCCTGGATCTCATCTAAGAGATCCCAGAAGCTTTAACATGTGACTCTGACAGAAGCTTTGAATGTAATTACCAAAATCCATTTCTGCAGCTTGCTCACAGGTGGGCCTGGTTGTTGCAGGCCCACAGCAGCTGTTTGAAGCCTTTGGCACCCTCTCCCTGTCTCCGAGGGGGCTGTGGGACCCAGGCGGTTTGCTCATACCTGGACCGGCTTTTTCCTTCCCTCCAGTTTACTGACCCTTGCTGTAGAATAAACGCCCTCCCTCGCTCAATGTGCTGCACACCTGTTAGTGTTTGTTTTTCACTGACAGTGTTGATTTCGCATTGGACCCAGCAGAGGATGTGGTTACAGGGCCATGATAAGGGCTCAGAGCTGCTCTGTGGACAAGAGGAAAATGCCAAGTTGGGTAATGAAAACTGAACCGCCCTGTGCTCTGACTTAAAAATATCTTTACCAAAATTATGAAAGCACCACAAAAGCAAAACAGAAAATAAACTCTCTCTCTCTCACCCACACTCAACCATCCCAGAAAGTAGTGTGGCATGTTGGAATGGGTACTAAACTCAGGGGCAAGAGTCCTATTGATACTTTCAGCTCTTTCAATGCCTCAGTTTCCTCCTATGTTCTGTGAATACTTCCAGCTCTCTCTGCACCATGAAGGGAAGGGTTTGAATGCACTGAACTTTATGGTCCCTTCTGGTACTCCACCCCCTTGCCCATCACACAGGCCAATGTGCCATCTCCCCGATGCACAATGCGTTCAATTACTGAGCACAAACCATGCAGCAGGCATCGTGGGAATTTCTGGGAGAGAAGGGAGATCAAGCAGACACGGTCCCTGGAAGCAAGTGTGTAAACAAAGAAGCACAACCAAGGGATTCATAAACACATGCTGGCAGAATGTATGTATAGGGGTGGCTGCTTTGCACAAATCAGGATCAGGAATTTTTTATAAAGAAGGTGATTCTTAAGTTGAGCGTCACGTAATGAATAAGTACTTGCCGAGGCAGGGTGGGGTGGAAAGGGCGGTGTTAAAGGCAAAAGGAAGGTTCAACAAAGGCTGAGTTGCAACACAGCTTGGTGGGCTGGAGAATTGCAGGACTCTCTGAAGAGTCAGGAGCCTAGATTGTGAGGTAGGTGTGGTGTGTGTGTGTGTGTGTGTGTGTGTGTGTGTGAAGAGAGAGGGGGAGAGAGAGGAGAGGAGGAGGAAGAAATAAAGAAAAAGAGAGAGAAATGCTGCTGGATACCAGAAGAGATGAGAAATAGCAGGAACCAGATAAAAAATGTATGATAAAAAGTGAGTTTAGAGTTTAGCCTACAAACGTAGTGAATCTAATGACAGTTTTAAGCAGTTTTAAGAATGACGCTATCATATTTAGGGCCCATGGAAACTTCATGCAAAATAGTTATATATGGGAATGATTAAGAGATTAGACTAGGTTCTCATCTCATTTGTCACTTTTTTTTTACACTGTTAGATAACAGATGTACAAGCAGTGGTATCCTATTTCCTTGCTTATTTCTTAAGCGACAGTACTTGAAGCTTCAGGACACAAGTTTACAAGTTGTTGGCTTTACTCTTCAGGCTTCTTTTTTATGCCTTTTCCATTTAGACAATGCAAATTAAGAAACTTCCAAAAAGCTTTCCAAGATTAATTCCATTGTATTCTTACCACTCCATTATCCTCCTTTCTCCAACTGTTAGGGATTTTTCTTCTGCCTTTTTTTTTTTCTTGCCTTGATTTTTATCTCACACATAGCTATAAAATTATCATGGAGATTTTATAACTCTATAATTTCAGGATAGTAAAGGCCACTAATATCTAAATGACTTAAAATAATATTCCCACACACTTAGCACACGCCTGGCATAGAGCAGATGCACAATTAGAAGAAAGCACATAGGCCGTAGGGTCAGAACATACAGGGGTTTCACCCTGGCCAGGTCATTTCATCATTAATGGTTCCCAGCAAGTCATCTTACTCTGAGCCTCAATATCTTCATCTGTAAAATGGAGCTAATAATATTGTTAAAGTATACATATAAATGCAAAATCCTGATCCTCCTACAGATATAAAATGAGCACATGCTAAAGATATTGTTTAACAGGCAAATGTTAAATTTGGTTCAAAGAAGAAGTAAAAAGAAACACAAATTTATATAAAGGAATGTTGAAATGAGTTTACAAATAGGCAGAAACTGGCTTTTTCTGTTGGGAGGGTTAAGGGGTGGAGAATTAAATTTAGTTCCATTTGGATACTATATATTTATGTATCTTACAGACAAGAATCACTTTCATGTAGGTTATCTATAACCATCAAAGGTAATGAAAGGCACCAAGTCCCCCATAGAATCAGAATGAGATAAACGGGAAAGGTGAGTGCTAAACAACTCATGGTTTTTCATGGAAGCCAAGCTGTTCTCTACCATGCCTAGCTGGCATCCTAGGTTGCTGGAAGGATTTAAGCTCACATATGTGCAGCACCTTCATAGTCTGTATAATGTACCAGTTGCCCAGCAAGTAATAACTGGCTTTGTTACTATTAATAGAAGCTATGAATGAAAATTACTTATTGGGTAAGGTTTTACTCATCCAACCAGAACGTGTATTCTTTTATTGCTATCATCTAATAGTGTGCAGTAGACTGTCCAGCACTGCTTGATACTTAGCATTAAATGACAAATTTATATTAAGGAAAATATTCTGATGAAATGTGAGATGGCTTTTTAAAACAATTAATGATTAACCTTCTGAGTTAGAAGAGATGGCAAGGGCAACTAAATGGCTGCTGCCATCACACTCTCTTTCTGAAAATCAGTGGGCCTTGGGTCCTATTACTGGAAAATGATGGTGGTTGAACACAATGCTGCTGCTTCCCCTTCCCATGAGAGACCAGTGTGAGTTCAGCTTAAAATGAGCATTTGCTTTACTCTGCTTCTAAGTCCTTATTCAAACTCAACTCTCACTGTTACCAATCAGATTTGCCCACTCTGCCTTCTATGACATCCCAGCAGCATTTTCTTCAAGGAACCAAGATCAGTTTATGATGTCACCATTGTTGCCAACAGTTTGATTCTGGATGCAGACTAAGACAAAGAAACTTAAGTTTTTGAACTCACCTCACTTCAAGTGATAAGGAAGCAAATACAGAAGGAGAACTTAGGAGAGTGAGCGAGTGTCTCTCTCTCGTGTGTGTGTGTGTATGTGTGTGTGTGTGTGTGTGTGGTGTGTGCCCATGATTAAATAGCAATATGCAAAACAGCTACCCAAAATTTAAAATGATGTTCCTCGCATAAGGCTGAAATAATTTTTCCGGTGGGAAAAGGCACATTGGGATGACATAGGAACAAAAAGTTGGGTATACATTGGAACTGCTTCCCGTTTTAGTGGTTTGGACACAAAAGTGTTTCTACTTGCCTGTTCTTTCCTTTTTTCTTTTTGAAAGCCTTTAATTTTAGAATTGTAACAAAAAAACCATCCAATTTTACTTAATAGTAGACTTGGCTTCTAATAACTTCAAAAGCTAGGGAAAGATAGAAAAAGTGCTTTTGATTTTCTAAGCTGGACCGAGTTTCTGGAGCCCCAACGTTCCCGTACCCTTTCGGGCATCCTACTTGGTACTTGAGAAAATGCTGACCTAGAGACAGACTTAACTTATTCCACCCTAACTCCCATAGTTGCTGTTAACTTTTCTGTGCACTGAAAGAGCTCTTTTGACTGGAGAGAAAAATGCTGTGAGAACAAGTATGGGTTGAGGTGGTGGCAAAGGAGTATCTTTGATCAGAAAGCAAACCTCAACTGTGGGTAAAGGCAGGACTAGCCTTTTCATTTAGGGGATTTCTACAATTATGTTATAAGTTCCTGAGAAACATCCATTCTGCCAAAAATAACTCTGCTTTGCCAGAGGATGCCAGAAATTCCACAATTTTTAGTTCAGTGACTCAAGCACCTGTTAATTTGCAAGGGTGCATGTATTCAATCCTTCCTCAAAGGCAGATATGATCATCTAACCTAGTGATTCTTAACCCTTCTGGATTATGGATGCCTTTGAGAACTTGAAGAATTCCATACCCCAGAAAAATGCACACATGCACTTTGTGAGTTGAACTTTTCTCCCATTGCAAACAACAGAAGCTAAGTTGTTTCTTAGCTTCTAATTTAAGCAAACTGGGGATTTAATGGAAGAAAATTGAGTGGGAGAGGAAATGGAGCTGCTTTGGGCACTAGATAGCAGGAACTAGTTCCTAGTGGGCACAATTTCTTTGTGTGCTGTCAGTGAAATGAATCTGACCAAGATATGTTTTCCTCTGGCTGTTAGACCATCAAGATTTCCCCAGAGGAACTCTGGCTCAGCTTAGACCCCCAGCCCCTCCATGGCTAAGGAGGTAAGGCTTGTTAGCTGATGTGCCACCAAGATAGAATAAGCTATGGAGAGGAGCCAGCCCTTAAAGGAGAAATCAGGGTCCTGGCATTACCAGGAGAGAAAGAAATGATGCCGGGCAGGCAAAAACAATAAATGCCCAATAAACACACTCGCTCACTCAGAATTCTTCATATTAGGTAAGTGGGGGAATCAGAAACCCCAGCTCTAAAAACTGGGGTCAAAAAGCCACAGATTAGCTACACCCTATGACCGATATTTAAATGCTCTATACAACATACCCTATTTCCTGAGAGTATGCTTGTTATTAGAAAATCCGGAGTTAAAGAGAAATTGGGGAACCTGATAGAAAAAAAATGAGGATGAAGATACCAAAAAGTGACAGGAAGCTAATAAAGAAGCTAGGGACAGTAAAACCATGGTTGGTTTTCCCATGCCTGACCCCAGATTAATGAATCTCTATGGAAAGATATATCTACTCTTATCCATGTCAGAGGCTCTGATACCAGTTATCTGCTGGACATGCATGGGGCTCACTGGCTTTCCAGTCCTAAAGAAGATGATTAAGAGAGACCTACTGTGTGTGGAATAATCCCCCAGATTGAGTGATGCTACAGAACCATGCCCCTGCGCTTGACTTCTGATTTCCCTGGTGTGAGTGCAGCACCTGAAGAAACCCATGATGGTGGGGGAGAAAGAGTCTCTTCCCCATCTCAGCAAGATGTCACATGGATCTAGATCTGAAGTGGCCTGGGAGGTATGCTCCAAGGACCAATGAACACACTGTGTTCAGTAACTGTGCTGTCAGTGAAATGAATCTGACCAAGTCATGTTTTCCTCTGGCTGTTACACCATCAAGATTTCCCCAGAGGAACTCTGTTTGGCTCAGCTTAGACCCCCAGCCCCTCCTTGGCTAAGGAGGTAAGGCTTGTTGGCTGACATGCTACCAAGATAGACTTCTGACTTCCCTGGTGTGAGTGCAGCACCCACAGACACCCATGATGGTGGGTTTCCTCTACTACTAATTGGAGCACATGGCTAGGGAGAGAAATGAGCTTTTATTGGATGACTTACCCATTTCAGACCTTTACAACTCCGTTCCTCAACAGGTGGTGCAGATACCTTGCGAGGCCCACTGTGATTTTCCCCTTGACTGCTTCTCCAGATGCATCTCAAGTGCCTCTCACTCTCACACACTCATATTCAGCCACATTGCCTCCTTTAAAACTCCTTGTCCTACTAGAAACCTCAGGGTTTTATCACATATTGTTTTCTTTGTCTGATGCGCCCTTCCCCAACTCTAGCTAACACCAACTTATTTTTCTTATTTATGGAAGGGTGGAGGCTCCATCTGTCTCATTTACTTTTGTGACCTGGGACTTTTGAGCCCAGGCCCATGTTAGGTAATCATTATATGTATGTTGAATGAATGTTGTTCAGCATTGTACAGAAGGAGAGGCGCTCTCAAGGATAAATAGTAGAAAATAAGTGAGTTAAGTTAGTAAATTTAGAGATTGATGAGAATGCTGATGTGTGTAGAGGTGGGAACAGATATAAAACATAAGACGCTGACAGAATTGTAGAATAGTCCATTCTTTCAACCTCAGGAATGAAGGCAAGAGAGCCAAGAAAGTACATGGAATACGGCCAAAGATAGTTAAGGTTTTAGATAAAGCTGAAAGCTCATGTATCACTTTTGGTTGCCTTGGCAACAGAACCTTCATCTCATGATAATGATATTATAATATGACGAAGCAAATACAAATAAATTAATACCTTATCAAAAATGGAGCCACAAATGGTCTAGTTAACTTCACCTTTGAGGATAATGTAAGGTGGAATCTTAGAAGGGGTTCTATGCTGCAAAAAATGCACCCTAGGATTTGAGTTATGTATAAAAGGGTTAAACCAGGTCATGGAATTTGACAAACCAAATCTAAAATGCATATGTGGAAACACATAAGGCCATGATCAACTATGATGGTTTTGAATAACAGAATAAGTTATGGGACTTGCCCTATATTTCAGTCATCTTTTAACATCATTATGCTGTGGAACAAACAACCACAAAGCCCCAGTAGCATAGCACAATAAGCATTTATTTTGGCTTATTTTTTCCTTTTCTTTTTTTTTTAGATGGAGTCTCACTCTGTTGCCAGGCTTGAGTACAGTGACGCGATCTCGGCTCATTGCTACCTCCACCTCCCGAGTTCAAGCGATTCTCCTGCCTCAGCCTCCCGAGTAGCTGGGACTACAAGCACACACCACTACGCCCAGCTAATTTTTGTATTTTTAGTAGAGATGGGGTTTCACCATGTTCGCCAGGGTCGTCTCAATCTCTTGACCTCGTGATCTGCCCACCTTGGCCTCCCAAAGTGCTGGGATTACAGGCATGAGCCACTGTGCCCGGCCATGAGTATAAGGTTGGTATTGCAGTTATGGTGTTCTGAATCAAGTGTGGCTATTTTGACTCTGGTCACTCACATGAGCAGCTGGTAGGTTGGGTGGGCACTGGCCAGTCTAGGATGGTCTTAGCATGGATGGGCTCCACCCTGCTTCATGTGTTCTTTCAGCACACTTCAGCATACTAACCTGGGCTTTTTCTCATAGTGGAGGCAGAGTTCCAAAAGAGATGGGAACATGTAGGGCCTTGAGGACTATGTCTGGAACAGGCACAGTCATTTCTACCACATTCTTTGTAGCAAATTCAGTCCTGATTCAAAGGATGGAGAAAGAGACTCAACTTCTTCATAGTATGAGCTGTAAAGTTATATTGCTAAGGGCATAGATCCAAGTGAGCCATTAATTTTATCTGTCAGTGCAATTAACCAACCATACCAGAAATCAACTTATTATAAAGCTATAGTAACTAATTCAGTATGATATTGGTGTAGAAATAGATAAGCAGAATAAGGATATGGTATTATGACCCAAAAGAGACTCGTATGATAATAAAATATCATAATGACAAAGAGAGTGTTGCAAAGTCTCTGTGGAGAAAATGGTAGACTATTTAACAAATGGTTCTATAACAAGAGGCTCTCCATATTGGAGGGGTGGTAGGGGAAATGGTTCCTTCCCTCATATCATGCACAAAAATTAATCTCAAGTTTATAAGATCTAAACGTAAAAGGCAAAACTTTAAAACTTTTAGAAGACAATATACTAGAGTACCTCTACAGCTTGACTGTGGGGAAAGATTTCTTAAACAAGATACAAAAGGTATAAACTATAATTAAAACATAGATAAGTTGAATTAAATTGTAATTTAAAACTTTTATGCAAAAAATTTCCAAAAAGTGAAAAGAGAGCTCCAGTCTTCAGGAAGATATTTATAAAGCAAGTAATTGAGAAAAGGTAGTATTGAGAACTAAGAAAGAACTTTCAAAAGTTAATGAGAAAAAGATAAGTTACTAGAAAAAATAAACAAAAATAAATGTGCAAAGGAAGAGGAAGTACACAGAAGAGGAAACCTAAATTGCCAACAAGCACATAATATAATGATCAATCTCATTAGTTAGTTACTGGGCAGATGCAAATTAAAACCATAATAGGCCCAGCATGGTGGCTCAGGCCTGTAATCACAGCACGTTGGGAGGCCGAGGCGGGTGGATCACTTGAGGTCAGGAGTTCCAGACCAGCCTAGCTAACATGGTGAAACCCCTGTCTCTACTAAAAATACAAAAATTAGCCAGGCATGGTGGTGGTCACCTGTAATCCCAGCTACTCCAAAGGCTGAGGCAGGAGAATCGCTTGAACCCAGGAGGCAGAGGCTGCAGTGAACCAAGATAACACCACTGCACTCCAGCCTGGGCAACAGAGTGAGACCCTGTCTCGAAAAAAAAAAAAAAAACAAAAAAAACCATAATAAAATATAATTTCACATCTTTTAATTTGCCAAGGATTACGCAGGTTGGCAATATCAAGAGTTAATGTGGAGCCACTGGAACCCTCATACACAGTGGGTAGGAACTGAAATTAGCATAACTACTTTGGAGAACAATTTGGTAATATCTAGGAATCTAGGAAAGTTGAATATGCACATACCCTATAACCCAGCCATTCCATGTCTATATCTTAGAGAAAGCGTTACATATTTTTCTCAATTCATGCATGAGAATATATATTGCAGTGCTATTTGTAATAGAAAAATGGTAAACATCCTAAATGTCTATACATAGTATGGATAAATAATATTGGCATAGTCATACAGGGGAATATTACACTACAGTAAAAATGAATGAACTAGAGCTAATATAGCCATACATGAAAAACACTCACAAGTATAACGTTAGATAAAAAGCAAGTTACAGAAGGCATATGCAATATGATAACAGTTTAAGACCCTATTAAACCACACTATATTGCTTAAGAATACACACATGTATAATAAAAGCATAAAGACATACATAGGATGATAAAGTAAAAATTCAGGATAATACTGCAAAACACCTCTAGGGAGGAGGTCAGGTTATAAAGAAGAGAAGGTAATGGGGAAAGGTCCGCAGGAGGCCTCAACTGTATCCATAATGTTATATTTCTTAAGCTGGGTGGTATAACATAAGTGCCTTTCTGATATTAGTCTCCATATGCTATTTGTATGTCTGATGGTTAATTTTTAAAAATAAGTGAATATTTAAGAGTCTTGCTTTGAAAAGGAAAGAAACAATGGGGCTGAAAGAAGAACCTAAATAACGTTAGAATGTTAACACCTATCTATAGGCATCTCTGGGTCTCCTTACTCCAGCTCCTCTCTCTAATCCACATGACTTGTTTGGAAACATTAAAGATAAATAGGATTAAAAGAATGGTTAAGTAAGTTTGAGGAATGCTGGGTAAAACAAAGCTAAATATGCGCTCTTTTCTGCAATACTTGTCAGAGTCTTTGAAATGCTAATGGCACTGTGAATCTCTGAGTGGGAGAGAGAGTCAGCAGTGTTTCCCCCCTTAAAGTCAGGAACCATTTTTCCATGCAGCATCTCAGGGCAAGGGTTTTCCATGAAATACATTTTGGAAAATGTGTCCCCAGATGTTTCATTTTCCTGTCACCAGCCTCTATCCCCACGTCTCATCCTGCCCACAAATTCCACTTCCTTATCAACCCTCATGTCTTTGTCATTTCGTTTCCATCTTTCCACAAGCATAGCTTTCCCAGGCTTTTGTCTTTCACGAAGGCAACATGGCGTCGTGAAAAGAGCACTTAGCTATAAATCTGTGAGCAATCCTCGCCTCAGTGCTTCTTAGCTGGGGCACCCAGGGTGGGTTATTTAATTTCTCTGTGCGCCTTGGTTTCTGTCTACAAAAGGGAGAGAAGAATCGAATCATTTACCCCATGGGAGAGTTGTGAGTATTGAGTTCATACCTATATAGTGCTTGATACTTTTTATGAACTTACAAAGTGTTGACTAGATTTATATAATAGAGAGAAGGTAATAGTTTACCTACCCCAAGAGTCTGCTTTTGGAGACTCCATTAATTTCCCAGGGCTGCCACAACAAAATGAGTGGTTTAAGCAACAGGAATGTATTTTTCTCACAGTTCTGGAGGCTGGAAGTCCTAGATCAGGGTTGGTTCCCTCTGAGGGCTGTTAGGGAGAATCTGTTCCCAGCCTCCTCCCCAGCTCCGGGAGGCTTGTTGGCAGCCTTTGGTGTTCCTTGACTTCTGCTACACCACCCGATCTCTGCCTTCATCTCCACATGGCATTCTCCCTGCATGTCTGTCTCCAAATTTCCCTTTTTAAATAAGAACGCCAGCTCTATTGGATTTGGGGTCCACCCTACTCCAGTGTGCCCTCATCTTCACTAAATATGTCTGCAACGACTCTATTTCTAAATAAGGCCACACACATTCTGAGGTGCTAGGGGTTAGGACTTCAACATTTGAACTTTAAGGGGACACAATTCAGCCCATAACAAAGACCAATTGAAATCACATCTATGAAAGTGCTGTTAGATTCTTGTAAAGAGTTACAGAATGTAAGATTCTGCTTTTGTCACAAATGACCACATCTTAAAGCATCTAGTAACACTTCATTGGAGCATACAGCCAGAGCTTGCCTTTGTGTACCTGAGACAGCTTTTTGGAACAATATTGAGCAGAGTTTGTCCAGGGACTCTTTAAAGTGCACGCTTTCTGTTTGGTTCTAAATCTATTGCTGGTAATTGATTGTTTTACCTCAACTAACAGAGAAAAGTCCATCTTGTTAAGAATTACTCAATACATGGGGTTTGCATATAAAAGGAGCTACTGCAGTATGCAGAGAGATTAAATAATTTCTTGGAGGCAAGAGCTCCATGAAATTTCTCAAATTAGCTGGGCCATTCCATAGTGAAACTAAATGGTGAATCTAGCTTTCCTCAGGTGCAGGCTTGTGTTATGCCCGCTGGCCCTATGCTTTCTTCAGGGGACACTTTTCCAACATTGTTTCCCTAGAGAAGAATTCAGAATGACATTAGGCCATTCTGAATGTCCTAGCAAGACTGTTCATATCAAAATGACTTTTTCATATGGTTAAGGTGAAGCAGTATATAGCACAGTAGTAAAAAGCATGAACTCTGACGTCCAGCTTCCTGGGTTTACATCCTAATTCTACCCGTGGGATCTTGGGCAAGAGACCTCAGCAACCATCACCCAATAACCATACTCACCTGTTGTGGCTGCTGTGAAGACTGAATGAGATAATCCATGAAACAGAACAGTGTCTGACACACACGCTGCACTCAACAAATGGTGGTTATTATTACTCTCAGTGTAATGACAGGCCCTCAGAAAAATCACTTTGAGATAACCTCTTCCTTTTGAATTGTGAAAAATAAAAACAGTTATCCCAACCAACACAATCACTTCCAATTTTATATATTCTAGTTCCTGTGGATACCTGGAGTATGAATATAATGTTGTACTGTGCCATTTGAATGTTGGCAGTTTTTATGTTCCCAAGCAGTTGTTCTTAACAGCTGTATCAAATTCAGTTAAGTTAATATACAGTGTTAGGTCATTCTTGCATTGCTATAAAGAAATACCTGAGACTGGGTAATTTATAAGAAAAGAGATTTAGTTGGCTTATGGTTCTGCAGGCTGTACAGAAAGCATGTTGGCATCTCCTTCTGGGGAGGCCTGAGGAAGCTTCCAATCAGGGCAGAAGGCAGAGGAGGAACAGACACATCACATGGCAAGAACGGAGCAAGAGACAGAGAGAGTGGCAGGGAGATGCTACACACTGTTAAATGACCAAATCTTGCGAGAACTCAAAAGTGAGAGCTCACTTATCACCAAGGGGATGGCCCAAGCCATCCATGAGGGATCCGTCCCCATGATCCAAACACCTCCCACCAAGCCCAACCTCCAACACTGGGGATTACAATTCAACATGAGATTTGGGCAAGGACATACATTCAAACCATATCATACACCACCTTTTACCTAACAGTCCTCCTATGGTTTGATATCTGGACTTTGGGGGTTTGTTACTGATTAATATCACTTTGTGCAAGCTAGTGAGCTTTTTCCCCATTAAAACCAATAGACCAGGGCAATCTCCCTCAAACTTCTGCCTAAGTGTCTTTGCTTTAGTTTAGCCCTCCTCCACTGTTGTTTTGACCTAAATCACCTTCCTCATAATCTGTTTCCTCATATCTCTGTTCCCCAAAGTCTAGATAAAAAACCACATCTCCATTATTGTTTCTTATTCTCCCTTTGCAGATTCCAGGCTCCCCATTCTGTTCCTTACTGTGTATGTCACCGTGGATCTATTTGTAACTCCCTACAACCCACCCCACCATAGAGCTCACAAGCCCCTTCTAGGGACATCAAACTGGGTAGATCACAAGAATAGCACCATTTGCCATCCCATATACTCCCCTTCCCACACTGGGTATGTTTGTAGAGTCTAAAAGAGAAACAAAGCATCTTTTTCTTTTTTTGCCCACCAAACTCCTGCTCATCCTTTATCACTAGGCTCAAATGTATCAGCCTCTGTGAAACACTTTCATTTCCCCCGCCAGGGCTCACCGCTCCCTCATACTAGTCCCAGGGCACTTGCTACGTATTTTAGTATCCTCAACAATGAACAAAGATTACACATTGAACATGCTCAAAAATCTGTTTGCAGATAAGTCAGTTATGGAGAGACCTGTATATAAGAAGTTGGAAACTGCTTCAGTTGTCTGTTTTGACAGGATTGAATGAGAATATAGCAAAGGCTTGGGAGTCAGACACTTTGATTTGAATATTAACTCTACAATGTGCTTGTTAGGAAACCTTGGGAAATATAAGCCAACCTTTCTGAGTCTCAGCCTTCTCATCTGCAAAATGGGGTCATCTCTGTCACTGACTTCCTCAGAACGCTGATGTGGACCAAATGGGATGATAAATGCAAAGCACACAAGCGCATGGTTTAAAGTGGTATTGATTAAGGCTAGCAAAGAATTTGAGACCAGCCTGGGCAATATAGTAAGACCTTGTCTCTACAAAAAAATGTAAAAAAAAATTTAATCAACTATGGTGGCACATGCCTATAGTCCTAGCTACTCAGGAGGCTGAGGCAGGAGGATTGGTTGAGCCTGGGAGATTGAGGCTCCAGTGAGCTATGATCGCACCACTGCACTCCAGCCTGGGTGACAGAGAGAGGCACCATGTCTTAAAAAAACAAAACAAAACAAAACAAAACAAAAAAACAGCAATAACTATCCTGAAAAGTCAAAATTGGCCAAAAATATTATCCCCTGTTGAATTTTGTCAACAAACCCCAAGTTCCTACCTCTTAAAATATAAATGGGGGCAGTACCATTAGCTTACCAGGAGCTAGAAGCCGATGATTTCAAGGAGTTTCCTGTCTAACTATTGATGGGTATATTCTGCTTCTGCTTCAGTCTCTCAATATTTTTTGCCTGCTCTTTTCAAGGGTGTTCTATTTACCATAAAGCACTGCTAAAAGTATGCCTCACCCTGTCCTCCTCCAACTCTCAGTCTTCTCCAGGCCTTTCCCACAGCTACTCTGCGGCCTGAGACTCATTCCGTGGTTGCCTTTTCTTTGAGCTGACAATTGTTTCTAGCCATCCTGCTAAGAAGTGTGAATTAAATGTTTGATCTAGAAGGGTTGATGCATCAAGTCATGAATAACTATAGCTCATTGATTATAACTAATAACTAATCTAATAAAAGATGATTGACCCCAAAGGGTCACCAAGTGGCATTGTTATGAACAGAAGAGGAGGAAACAGAGAGAGGGAAGAAAATGGAGATCCAGATGGGATTCCCAGAATGAAGCCCCAGGCAGCCAGAGGGTAGTATACTGTATGCATCTCTTGGGAAAGGAAGGGAGTGTATAAAATGGAGGAAAATGGAAGACAGGGGAAGAGTGGTAGCCCACATCAAGCTTTGCCAGAGGCCAACCTTTCTGTCTGCAGTGACATTCGTTTGCAAGGTTGGTGAATGGGCTACAGTCTCTGAATAGATAAATGAGGGAAGACAAAGTCACCAGGGTCCAGCTGAGCTCACAGGCCTGGTTAGCACTGGGGGACCAGTGCTGGCTAGTAACAGGTATGCTTACTAGAGGCTGTCAAACCATCCAGGGGCAAGTAAATATGTACCCACTGGCCTTAGAAAGACTCTTTAAAAACTTGAAGCTCTGCCTTTGATTTAGGTCGATAAGATATAAGAGATTATTAAAATGTAAAAGGTTGCTAAGGAATAAAACTAAAGCAATGCCAAAGAGCCTAATCTAAATGCAGACAAAAAATAAACTCACAGCTCTGTTTGCTTGGCCCAGATGCCTGGAGCATCTTGAAAGAAGGCACATTTCTGCACCTGAATAATGTTAATCTTGGGTTTAGAAAGAGGTAGAGTGAATATGGAGACTGCTCAAAATCACTTCTGATTATACTTAAGATATTCTGGGAAACCACTCAAATATTTATTTAAAAATTGCATTGTGGAAGACATGGTACTAGAAAATAATGATAACCACAACTAACTTTATTATGATACCTTACAGCCGACTCAAAGCTTTTCACATGGTGGAGGATATTCACTGATATCCAAATAATGTGCAACTGTACAATGCTGCATGAGCCATGATTATCTCCCTTAAAGAGTTTACAATCCAACGAGAGAAGAAAGGGACATACACAATGTAATATAATACAAGTTGGATGATGACAAGGGCTGTAATAAAGGTAATAATTTATGATTGTCTAAAAGTAGGTTACATAAAGGGAGTATTGTTTAAAATGGACTTTGAACATTTGATAGGTGGAGGTGTCAGATAGATATTTTAAGCAAAGGAAAACATCACGTACAAGGGCAGGAAATAGAAAATTGCAGCATGTGTTCAAAGAACAAGTAATGCAGGAAGGATAGGTTGTGGTGGACATCTGTTACTTTTGCTTACTCAGTATTCACTCTCTATTCTCTTTGTCATAGTAACTCTTTTCCCTTAGGGAAGCCCATCTATTCTTAGGATCTGAAAAGTAGAGTTGACCCCACTGCTGGATTCAGAGTGGGGCCTGTGATCATGACTTGGCCAATCACTACCTTTATCTTCTTGGATGGAATGATTTGTTTAGAGCTGAGCACAGAACTCAAGTCAACCAATGTGCCAAGACTAAATCCCAAGAATTTTGTTGGAATTTTAGGAAAGAGTCAATCTCTTTCCATGAGATCACTAGCTGTGAGGATAACGTAAGTCTGGAATTTCTGAGTCTCTCTGAGGAGAGTGCTCACCACCGAGAGAGACCAGCACATTTATACACTTAGATGTTGCCATGATGGAAGAGACAACACATTCTCTCAATGTTTAGCCAGTCCAAATTGCTTTCTGTCACTTGTAACCATAAAAATCATCAATCCATAGCTGAGGACAAATTGGAGAGTCTTGAGTGCCCCACCAAGGAACTTCATTCTCTTATCAACAATAAGTAGAGTCACAGGAGGTTTTGGGAAAGTAATAGATTTTGATTCTCCCCACCAAAAACAGTTTGAAGGCAGTGTCATACGCAGGAACTGGGTAAAAGATTTTTACAAAGGCAAAGTCACTGGTAGGAATTGTGGCTCTTTGTGAGTTCTCTTTGTGAGTTCCTGGACTCATCATTGTCATCATTTTGGAAGCTTACTGTGCCATAGGCATTGTTCTAAGCACTTCACACACATTAACTCATTTGATGCTCATGCCAACCCCACAAGACAGGTTCAGTTACTCTCATTTAACACTCACACCAACTGTATGAGGAAGGTCCAGTTATTATCCCCATTTTACAGAAAATTTTGTTCATTTTTACCTCTAGAATAAAATTTCAAAATAAAATTTCAAAACAGTGAACTGCAAATAGCAGTTCACTATTTTATCTCCACCATCAAGAATAGTTCCTGGGACATTACAGGTTCTCAATAAATATTTGCATAGTGAAATGAATAAATGAGTGGTTCAGGCAGCATGATGTCTCTTCCTTCAAATTCTCTCCTGAAATGCTCCCATTAATGTGATCACCTGGGTAACCCAGAGGAGCATTACTTCTGTGTATAATTAATCATTTATGTCAATGTGATGAGAATGCAGTGAGACCCCTTATTATTGGAGCTGGTAGCCTGAGGTGAGTAGGAAGTAGGTGGTAACTGCAGGGGCACCAGGGAGGCATGGGCACAAAATTGAGGCACAAGCAGGTTAACAAATCCCCAATGTCTCACAACTAATCGAATGGCAGAACCAGGATTTCAACCCTGGGAGTCAGGTCCCAGAGCCTGTCCACAAAAAAGACAAGTGCCAACACCATGAAGTTTTGCAAGCTCCAAATTTCCTTCTCCAGTGGCCCATCCTTTCTCCCCACTAACCTGGAAGTCCATATTTAGAATCACTTATTTGACTTAGGAAAGGTAGTTGGGAGTGTTGTTTCTAGAATGTCCCTGTTATATTGTCACTTGAGTAGGAGAATAGGGCCTGGCCTTTTCCCATTGAAACATCAACAGAGCCTTAAAGGGCACAGGTAAGTTTTGTGGGTTTGTTTTTTTTTTGTTTGTTTGTTTTTTTTTTTTTTTTTTTTTGAGATGGAGTCTCGCTCTGTCGCCAGGCTGGAGTGCAGTGGCACAATCTCGGCTCAGTGCAACCTCTGCCTCCTGGGTTCAAGGAATTCTCCTGCCTCAGCCTCCCAAGTAGCTG
This sequence comes from Homo sapiens, assembly GCF_000001405.40. Taxonomy (NCBI): domain Eukaryota; kingdom Metazoa; phylum Chordata; class Mammalia; order Primates; family Hominidae; genus Homo; species Homo sapiens. The sequence goes on along the minus strand of NC_000012.12, from coordinate 67,499,662 downwards.
GGATTACAGATGCCCACCACCATACCCAGCTAATTTTTGTATTTTTAGTAGAGACAGGGTTTTACCATGTTGGCCAGGATGGTCTCAATCTCTTGACCATGTGATCCGCTGCCTGGGCACAGGTAAGTTTTAAAGAGAAAAATGTGGAGGAATTAGGATATTGGGGCACTACTCAGGGAAATACTGAATCTCCCTGGTGTTGGCAAAAGCGCACCTGGTGTGGGGTTAAAGAAAAAAGGGGCACAGAGAGAGAATTTGTTTCCTAACATGAATATCATGTCTCCTTCAAAATGTAGATTTCTGTCAAAATTCCCAAAAGCACATTCTTGCAATGCTGTGCATACTTCCATAAATGGCCCTTGCCTGTGTTGTTTCAGTCAGTCCTTGGATACAGCAAGAAGAAGTCGAGCCTCCCAAGTACTGTCACTGTCAAGTTCCTTCTCTCTGCCAGACCTTCCCACAGCCCCAGATGGTGTAGCTTCTCCCTCCCTCTCATTTCCTGAGCAGGTGGGAGAAAGGAAAGAGTTAGAAAAGAGGCAAGAAGCATAGAATTTGCCAGTACTAACCCTGGCTCTCACCCACCCATCCAGCATGGCTGGTGCCAAACTGGCAGTAGATTTGTAAGTGTTTGAAGTAGCCCCAGGCCCATGCCTCCCTGGTGCCCCTGCAGGTACCACCTACTTCCTACCTACCTCAGGCTACCAGCTCCAATGGGGGTATCATTGCATTGACATAAATGAGTAATTATACACAGAAGTAATGCTCCTCGGGTGACCCAGGTGATCACATTAATGGGAGAATTTCAGGAGAGAATTTGAATGAAGAAGCATCATGCTTTCTGAATCACTCTTTTATTCATTTCATTAAACAAATATTTATTGAGAATCTATGATGTACCAGGGACTACTTTTTTTTTTTTTTTTTTTTTTGAGATGGAGTCTCGCTCTGTCACCCAGGTTGGTGGAGTGCAATGGCGTGATCTCGGATCACTGCAACCTCCACCTCCCTGGTTCAAGCAATTCTCCTGCCTCAGCCTCCCAAGTAGCTGGGATTACAGGCGCATGCCACCACACTCAGCTAATTTTTTTATTTTTTTATTTTTAGTAGAGACAGGGTTTCACCATGTTGGCTAGGCTGGTTTTGAACTCCTGACCTCAAGTGATCCACCCGCCTCGGCCTCCCAAAGTGCTAGGATTACAGGCACAAGTCACCGTGCCCAGCCAGAAGGGCCTATTCTTGGTGATGGAGATAAAATAGTGAACTGCTATTTTCATGGAATTTTATTCTAGTGGAAATAATGAATAAACAAAGTAATAAATATACAAGCTCATGACCTATGATAAAAAGTGCTATAAAGAAAAATAAATCTGGATAAGGGTAGTTAGAGAGGAAGGGATTGCTAATTTAGGAAGGGTTGTCAGGGAAGTCTTCACTGAGGAAGTAGAGGCAGCAGCAAGCCAAGTGAAACTGGAGGGAACACTATACCCCTGCTGAAGGGGAAAAACAGGAGATGATCATTCTTGGCATGTTTGAGGATAAGAAAGACTGTGTGGCTGGAACAGAATGAACAAGCAAAAGAGTTACAGGCAGTGAAGCTGGTGAAGGAACCATGGGCTCGATAAGAATTTTGTATTATATGTATTTTTAGGACGATGGGAAGCTATTGGCGGATTTTTGTGCAGAAGAATGATATAAAGTGATTCGTATTTTAAGAGGTGATTAAGGCAGAAAGAATATAAGAAGGCAAGTGAGGGAGCAAGGAGACCAGTTGATCTAGGTGAGAGATGAAGGTGCCTGGACCAGAGTGATAGTGGTGGAGGTGGGAGAAGTGGGAAGGCTGTAGATAGATTTTGAAATTTAGAGGCTTCATCTCATTTTGTGGCTGTGTCAAGGAAACCTCTGATGACTGTTTTACTTGCCACTGGCTCACCTGTGATGTCAGCCATGCAACTGACATGGATAGTTCCCAGGAGCTCACCTTCACCTGGCTCTCTCTCCAACACTAAAGTAGCCTCCTTGTCCTGCAGGCAGGCACACCCAGGAGTACAGGCTGGAGGCATTTTTATGCCAGGAGCAACCCTTGCCCAACAGGGGACTGGAGCTACAGGGCTAAATATTCCAACCTATCTTTCAGGTGGAAGATTCTAGAAGGCATTCTATATACTTCTCAAAGATCCAGCCTACATCGGTGACCTTGGACACACCCCCTCATGTTGACTTGTCCTCCTTCCCTGTTTCACTCTCCTGACTCTCTCCCGCTGTCCTCACTCAATTTCTTGCCTGAGTCTCTGGTTTGAAGGAACTCAACAAAGATAGGGCATTTCCCACTCTATCTATTCCTTACTTCCCATAGTTCTCTCTTTATGCCCAAGGTTGTTGAGGAAAACTTCCAGGAGACATATCCGGGGAAAACATCCGGTCTATCATTTTCTTTCACGGATCTATGGGGTTTACAACCAGAAACAGACCTTCCAACCCTCAAATTCTCCAAAATAGCCATCATCAATCCCCACTTCAAAGATCCACATCTACAGCCTAGTTTGTGAAAATTCAATTGAAAACCAATTGAGCATTAAAGGGGAAAATAATCAGAGACGTCTTCTAGGCAGGAGAATATAGGATACTATAAACAAGGTATAGTCTCCAAATCCATAGATGACTTTGTAATGGACCTGAATGGACACATTGCAGAGTTTATGAACAATAAAAAGACAGAGATGCAGCTGAGTGATAATTCAGCTGAGAGATAATATACTTCAATGCGACTTGGCAAGAATCACTTAAAATGCATTGGCTGGTAGGTTCTGAATGTTCTTTATTAGAAATGACTATAGATTAAAGAGATATGAGACAAGTGAGTAACACAAAGCAGAAGAAATCCTTAAATCAAAATAGACATTTTAATAACTATGCTTTAAATAAATCCCCCTCTGAAGTCTTCTAATGTTTAACAGCTGCAAATAAATATGACACTGGGAGAAGCTAATCAAAAAGTTTAATAATGCAGGAAACAAAAGAGCAAAAAAGAACCTGAAACACCACGTCTTCAGCCCCTTTAGGCTTCTAGCCTCTCTCCCTCTCTGGTGCTACCACACCCCCCAGTACCCCAACACCCCACAGGTTGGGAAGCCTTCTAGCTAAAACCTGTGGAGCTAGACAGCCTGGGTTTGAATCTCAGCTCTGTCATGGTTCATCTCTGTGTGCCTGGGCAAGTGTCTTAGCCTTCCAAGCCTTGGTGCTCATGGCTATAAAATGGGACTAAGCCACCTGATAGGGTTGTTGCAAGAGTTAAGTGGGCTAATATATATGAAGGCAGAGTAAATACTCAATAAAATGTCAGCTATTGCTTTACTATCTTGCTAAAGCAGCAGAAGAGAGCTAGAGTAAAAAGAAAACAGATTGAAAGAACAGAAAATAGAGGGAAAGGGAGGCTTAGAGGCAACTGAAAGTTTGCTAAGTCACAACGATATTCAGGCAGTGCAGCCAGGCAGGCTGACTAGCTGGCCTGGGTTTAGATGGGTTGAAGCCCCACCTAGTTAATAAATTATGACTATCACTCCTGCTTTGGCTTTTGAATTATTAAACCACAGAGAATCCACAGGATGTAAATCTTACAATCCTTTAAGAAATCAATATGGTAACACATATCAAAGGCTATATTGTATAGCTGTAAACACTGTATCCCACTCCTGGGAATTTATTCAAATACAATTGAATACAGGGTTGATAACCCCCACACAGTCGAAGATCTACATGTAACTTTTTTTTTTCCTTGGAAGTGTAACTGTCACCAAACCATGTATAACTTTTTCTTAACTTTTATTTTAGGTTCAGGGGTACACGTACAGGTTTGTTATATAGGTAAACTCAAATCATAGGGGTTTGTTGTACAGATTATTTCATCACCCAGGTGTAAGCCTAGTTATTACACCTGGTTAGTTTATTAGTTATAATAATAACTAAAAGTTATTTTTAGTTAGTTATTTTTCCTGCTCCTCTCCCTTCTCCTACCCTTCACCCCCTGGTAGGCCCCAGTGTCTGTTGTTCCTCTCTTTGTGTCCATGTGTTATCATTTAGCTCCACTTATAAGTAGGACTATGCAGTATTTGGTTCTCTGTTCCTGCGTTAGTTTGCTAAGGATGATGGCCTCCAGGTCCATTCATGTTCCTGCAGAGGACATAATCTTGTTCTTTTTTATGGATGCATAGTATTCCATAGTGCATATGTACCACATTTTCTTTATTCACTGCTAAATGGGCATTTAAGTTGATTCCGTGTCTTCACTATTGTGAATAGTGCTGCAATAGACATAAACTTGTATTTGTCTTTATGAAAGAATGATTTCTATTCCTTTGGGTATATACCCAGTAATGGGATTGCTGGGTCAAACAGTAGTTCTGTTTTTAGCTCCTCAAGGAATCACTACACTGCTTTTCACAATGGTTGAACTAATTTGCACTCCCACCAACAGTGTATAAGTGTTCCCTTTTCTCCGCAACCTTGCCAGCATCTGTTATTTTTTTAACTTTTTAATAATAGCCATTCTGACTGGTATGGGATAGTATCTCATTGTGGTTTTGATTTGTATTTCTCTAATGATCAGTGATTAAGCTTTGTTTCATATACTTGTTAGATGCATGTATGTCTTCTTTTGAAAAGCATTTGTTCATGTCCTTTGCCCACTTTTTAATGGGGTTGTTTGGTTTTCTCTTGTAAATTTGTTTAAGTTACTTATAGATGCTAGATATTAGACCTTTGTCACATGCATAGTTTGCAAATATTTTCTCCCATTCTGTAGGTGGTCTGTTTACTCTGCTGATAGTCTCTCTTTTGCTGTGCAGAAGCTCTTAAACTTAATTATATCCCAGTTGTCAATTTTTGCTTTTGTTGCAATTGCTTTTGGTGTCTTCCTCATGAAATCTTTGCCAGTTCTGATGTCTAGAATGGAATCGCCTATGTTGTCTTCCAGGGTTTTATAGTTTCACATTTAAGGCTTTAATCCATCTTGAGTTGATTTTTGTATAAGGGGTCCAGCTCCTTATTTTGTAAGGAAGGGGTCCAGCTTTAATCTTCTGCATATGGTTAACTAGTTATCCCAGCACCATTTATTGAATAGGGAGTCCTTTCCCCATTGCTTGTTTTTGTCAGCTTTGTCAAAGATCAGATGGTTGTAGGTGTGTGGCCTTGTTTCTGGGCTCTCTATTCTGTACCATTGGTCTATGTGTCTGTTTTTGTACCAGTACCATACCATTTTGGCTACCATAGCCCTGTAATATAGTTTGAAGTCGGGTAACATGATGCCTCCAGCTTTGTTCTGTTTGCTTAGGACTACCTTGGCTATTTGGGTGTTTTGTGGTTCCATATGAATTTTAAAATAGTTTTTTCTAGTTTTGTGAAGAATGTCACTAGTAGTTTGACAGGAAAAGCATTGAATCTGTAAAATGCTTTTTATGATATTGATTCCTCCTATCCATGAGCATGAAATGTTTTTCCATTTAAGTCATCTCTGATTTCTTTGAGAAGTGTTTTGTGATCCTCATTGTTGAGATCTTTCACCTCCCTGGTTAGCTGTATTCCTAGGTATTTTGTTCTTTTTATGGCAATTGTGAATGGGATTGCCTTTCTGATTTGGCTTTTGGTTTGGCTATTATCGGTGTATAGGAATGCTAGTAATTTTTGTATGTTGATTTTGTATCCTGAAACTTTGCTGAAGTTGTTTATCAGCTGAAGGAGCTTTTGAGACAAAACTATGGGGTTTTTCTAGATATAGAATCATGTCATATGCAAACGGGGGTAGTTTGACTTCCTTTCTTCCTATTTGACCGTTTATTTCTTTCCCTTGCCTGATTGCTCTGGCGAGAACTTCCAATACTCTGTTGAACAGGAATGATGAGAGAGGGCATCCTTGCCTTGTGCTGGTTTTCAAGGGGAATGCTTCCAGCTTTTGACCATTATTTATGATGTTGGCTGTGGGTTTGTCATAGATGGCTCTAACTATTTTAATGTATGTTCCTTTAGTTCCTAGTTTATTAAGAGTTTTTAACATCAAGAAATGTTGAATTTCATTGAAAGCTTTTTCCGTATCTATTGAGATAATTATGTGATTTTTGTGTTTGGTTCTGTTTATGTGATGAATCACATTTATTGATTTTCATATGTTGAACCAACCTTGCATCCCAGGGATGAAGCCTACTTGGTCATGGTGGATTAGCTTTTTGATGCACTGCTGGATTTGGTTTGCAAGTATTTTGTTGAGGATTTTTGCATTGATGTTCATCAAGTATACTGGCCTGAAGTTTTCATTTTTTGTTGTGTCTCTGCCAGGTTTTGGTATCAGGGTGATGCTGGCCTCACAGAATGAGTTGGGGAGGAGTCCATCCTCCTCAACTTTTTAAAAGTAGTTTTAGTAGGAATGGTACCAGCTCTTCTTTGCACATCTGGTCGAATTAGGCTCTGAATCCATCTGGTCCTGGGACTTTTTTTTATTGTTAGGCTATTTATTACTGATTCAATTTTGAAGCTCATTATTGATCTGTTCAGGGAATCAATTTATTCCTGGTTCCATCTTGGGAGGGTGTATGTGTCCAGGAATTTATTTATCATTTCCAAATTTTCTAGTTTGTGTGCATAGGGGTCTTCATAGTAGTCTGTGATGGTTATTTGTATTTTGTGTGGTCAGTGGTAACATCCTCTTTGTCATTTCTGATTGTGTTTATTTGGATCTTCTCTATTTTCTTCTTTATTAATCTAGCTAGTGACCTACCAATCATCAATTTTTTCAAAAAATCAATTTCTAGATTTGTCAATCTTTTGAAAGGTTTTCATGTCTCACTATCCTTCAGTTCAGCTCTGATTTTGGTTACTTCTTGTCTTCTGCTAGATCGGGGTTGGTTTGCTCTTGCTCCTCTAGTTCTTTTAGTTGTGATGTTAGGTTGTTAAATTCAGGTCTTTCTAACTTTTTGATGTGGGCATTTAGTGCTATAAATTTCTCTTTTACCACTGCCTTAGCTGTGTCCCAGAGATTCTGGTATGTTGTATCTTTGTTCTTATTAGTTTCAAAGAACTTCTTGATTTCTGCCTTAATTTCATTATTTACCCAAAAGTCATTAAGGAGCAGACTGCTTAATTTCCTTGTAATTACATGACTTTGAGACATTTTTTTAGTCTTGATTTCTATTTTTATTGCATTGCGGTCCAAGGGTGTGTTTGGTATGATATCAGTTATTTTGCATTTGCTGAGGATTGTTTTATGTTCAATTGTGTGGTGGATTTTATAGTATGTGACATACAGCAATGAGAAGAATGTATATTCTGCTGCTTTGGGGTGAAGAGTTCTGTAGAGGTCTATTAGATCTATTTAGTCCAATGTTGAGTTCAGGTACTGAACATCTTTGTTAATTTTCTGCCTTGATGATCTGTCTAATACTGTCAGTGGAGTGTTAAAGTCTCCCACTATTACTGTGTGGGAGTCTCAGTCTCTTTGTAGGTCTCTAAGAACTTGCTTTATGAATCTGGTGCTCCTGTGTTGAGTGCATGTATGTTTAGAATAGTCAGGTCTTCTTGTTAAATTGAACCTTTTACCATTATGTAATGCCTTTCTTTGTCTTTTTTTAGTCATTGTTGGCTTAAAGTCTGCTTGTCTGAAATTAGGATTATAACCCCTGCTTTTTTTCTGATTTCCATTTGCTTGGCAGATTTTCCTCTACCCTTTTATTTTGAGCCTATGGGTGTCACTGCATGTGAGATGGGTCTCTTGAAGACAGCATACTATTGGGTCTTTCTTTTTTATCCAGCTTGCCACTCCGTCCCTTTCAAATGGGGCATTTAGCACATTACATTCAATGTTAGTAATGATAGGTATTGATTTGACCCTGTAATTGCATTTTTAGCTGGGTATTATGCTGGCTTGTTTGTGTGGTTGCTTTATATTGTCACTGGTCTGTGTACTTCAGTGTGGTGTTTGTATTGGCTCGTAACAGTCTTTTCTTTCCATATTTAGTGCTCCTTTCAAGATCTCTTATAAGGCAAGTCTGGTGGTAATGAATTCCCTCAGCATTTTCTTATCTGAAATAATCTTATTTCTCCTTCACTTAGGAAGCTTAGTTTGGCTAGATATGAAATTATTGGTTGAAGATATTTTTTCTTTAAGAATGTTGAATATTGGCCCCCAATCTCTTCTGGCTTGGAGAATTTCTGCTGAGACATCTGCTGTTAGTCTAATGGGATTCCCTTTGTAGGTAACCTGCCCTTTCTCTCTAGCTGCCTTTAACATACTTTCTTTTATTTCAGCCTTGGAAAATTGGATGATTAAGTGTCTTGGTGATAATCTTCTTATGTAGAATCTTGCAGTGGTTCTCAGTATTTCCTGAATTTGAGTGTTGACATTTCTAGCAAGGTTGTGGAACTTTTCATGGACCATACCCCAAAATATCTTTTCCAACTTGTTTGCTTTCTCCCCTTTCCTCTCAAGTGATGCCAATGATTCGTAAATTTGGCCTCTTTACAATCCCACATTTCTCAAAGGTTTTGTTTCTTTTCATTCTTTTTAATTTTTGTCTGTCTTATTTGAGAACCAGTCTTCAAGATCTGAGATTCTTTCCTTAGCTTGTTCTATTCTGCCGTTAATACTTGCATTTGCATTATGAAATCTTATGTGTTTTTTCAGCTCTATTAGATCAGTTAGGATATTTTTTATACTGGCCACTTCATCTGTCAACATCTGTATCATTTTGTTGTGATTCTTTATTTCCTTGGAATGGGTTTTGCCATTCTCCTGAATCTCAGTGATCTTCATTCCTATCCATATTCCAAATTCTATTTCTGTCATTTCAGCCAATCCAGCCTGGTTAAGAACCCGTGTTGAAGGACCAGACTGGCTGTTTCAAGGACATAAGACTCTCCAGCCATTTGAGTTGCCATTCTTGTATTGGTTCTTCCTCATCTCTACCTGTGAGTGTACTTTTAACTGCTGGGCTGCTTCTGATTGAAGTGGTAAGATGGGCAGGATGGTTGAGCTGGAGTTCCACGTCAGGTGACCCTGCCCAGTGAGGAGAATTGAGGACTGGGACCTGCATAGAGAAAAGTCTGGCCACTTTTCTGTGAGGTGGGTGCTCTGTGCTAGGGGTCTGGACCAGCCCTTGGTCCCATGGATTCTCTGGAGCCTGGAGACTACAAAGACAGCAACCTGCCCCTCCCACTGGGAGCTCTGTCCCAGGGAGTCACAGAGCTACTATAGGCTCAATTGTTGCAGCAGGGGGGTTGCTGGAGACCCAGGCCAGAAGGACCTGCCCAGTGATGAGATATGGGACCAGGGACTGACATAACAAACAGTCTGGCCACTGTTCCATAGGACTGCTGCAGTATGCTGGGGGTTCACTCCAGTTCCTAGTCACCTCAAATTTTCCCATACCTGAAGGTATCAGTGGTGAAGACTACAAAACAGCAAGATGGCAGCCTGCTCCTCCATCCCAGGAAGGTACAGCCCCATTGCCATGCCAAACACACTGGTGGGAGTGGCTGGGGACCCCAGTTAGAAGGTCCCACCCAGTGAGGAGAAGTAGGATCAGGGGCCTGCATTAAAAAGCAATCTGTACACTGTAGAGCAGCTGTGCTATGCCGGGGGTCTGCTCCAACCCCCAGTTACCTCAGACCCTCCAAAGCCCAAAGGCAACAATGGCTAAGCCTTCAAAACAGCAAAGATGGCAGTCCACCCCTCCCTCTGGGAGCTCCATCCCAGGGAGGTTTGGAACTGCTGTTAGCTGGTGATATGGTTTGGCAGTGTCGCTACCCAAGTCTCATCTTGTATTGTCATTCCCATAATCCCCACATGTCGGGGAGCGACCCAGTGAGAGGTAATTGAATCATGGGGGCAATTACCTCCATGCTATTCTCATGATAGTGAGGGAGTTCTTATGACATCTGATATTTTTATATGAGGCTTCTCCCCCTTTTGCTTGACACTTCTCCTTCCTGCCACCATGTGAAGAAGGACATGTTTGTTTCCCCTTCTGCCATGAACGTAAGTTCCTGAGGTTTCCCCATACCTGCAGAACTATTAGTCAATTAAACCTCTTTTCTTTATAATCTACTCAATCTTGGGCAGTTCTTTATAACAGTGTGACAACAGACTAATATAGTGAATTAGTACCACAGAGAGTGGGGTGCTGCTATAAAGATACTCAAAAATGTGGAAGCAACTTTGGAACTGGGTAACAGACAGAGGTTGGAACAGTTTGGAGGGCTCAGAAGAAGACAGAAAAATGTGGGAAAGCTTGGAACTTCCTACAGACTTGGAGGGCTCAGAAGACAGGAAGATGTAGGAAAGTTTACAACTTCCTGGAGACTTGTTGAATGGCTTTGACCAAAATGCTGACAGTGATATGGACAATAAAAGTCCAGGCTGAAGTGGCCTGAGATGGAGATGAGGAACTTGTTGGGAACTGGAGCAAAGGTAACTGTTGTTATGATTTAGCAAAGAGACTGGTGACATTTTGTCCCTGCCCTAGAGACGTGTGGAACTTTGAACTTGAGATAAATTGTTTAGGGTAACTGGCAGAAGAAATTTCTGAGCAGCAAAGCATTCAAGATGAAGCAGGCTGGCTGTGCACAGTGGCTCATGCCTGTAATCCCAGCACCTTGGGAGGCCAACGCGGGTGGATCACTTGAGGTCAGGAGTTCAAGACCAGCCTGGTCAACATGGCAAAACTAGGTCTCTACTAAAAATACAAAAATTAGCCAGGCGTGGTGGCACGTGCCTGTAATCCCTGCTTCTTGGGAGGCTGAGGCACAAGAATTGATTGAACCTTTGAACCTGGGAGGTTGCAATGAGATCACACCACTGCACTCAAGCCTGGGTGGTGACAGGATGAGACTCTGCCAAAAAAAAAAAAAAAAAAAAAAAAAAAGATGAAGCAGAGCATAAAAGTTTGGAAAATGTGCAGCCTGATGATGCAATAGAAAAGAAAAACCCATTTTCTGGGGAGAGATTCAAGCCCCAAGATGATGCAGCTTCCACACGGTATTGAGCCTGCAGGTGCACAGAAGTCAAGAATTGAGGTTCGGGAACATCCACCTAGATTTCAGAGTATGTATGGAAATGCCTGGATGTCCATGCAGAAGTTTGCTGCAGGGTTGGAGCCCACATGGAGAACCTCTGCTAGGGCAGTGTGGAAGGGAAATGTGGGGTTGGAGTCGCCACACACAGTCTCCACTGGGGCACTGCCTAGTGGAGCTGTGAGAAGAAGGCCACTGCCCTCCAGACCCCAGAATGGTAGATCCGCCAACAGCTTGCACCATGCACCTGGAAAAGCTGCAGATACTCAATGCCAGCCCATGAAAGCAGCTGGGAGTGGGGCTGAATCCTGCAAAGCTATAGGGGAAGAGCTGCCAAGGCTGTGGGAGCCCACCTTTTGCATCAGCATGACCTGGATGTGAGACATGGAGTCAAAGGAGACCATTTCAAAGCTTTAAGATTTGACTGCCCTGCTGGATTCCAGGCTTGCATGGGGCCTGTAGTCCCTTCATTTTGGCCAATTTCTCCCATTTGGAAAGGGTATATTTATCCAATGCCTGTTCCCCCACTTTATCTAGGAAGTAACTAACTTGCTTTTGATTTTACAGGCTCATATACAGAAGGAACTTGCTTCGTCTCAGGTGAGACTTTGGACTTGGACTTTTTGGTTAATGTTGGAATGAGCTAAGAATGTGAGGGACTGTTGGAAAGGAGTGACTATGTTTTGAAAGGTGAAGACATGAGATTTGGGAGGGGCCAGTGGGGGAATTATATGGTTTGGCTGTGTCCTCACCCAAATCTCATCTTGAATTATAGTTCTCATAAACCCCATGTGTCATGAGAGGGACGTGGCAGGACATAATTGAATCATGGGGGTGAGTACCTCCATGCTGTTCTTGTGATAGCAAGGAGTTCTCATGAGATCTGATGGTTTTATAAAGGGCTTTTCTCCTTTTGCTCAGCACTACTCCTTCCTGCCACCATGTGAAGAAGGACATGTTTGCTTCCCTTTCTGCCATGATTGTAAGTTTCCTGAGGTTTCCCCATCCCTGCAGAACTGTGAGTCAGTTAAACCGCTTTCCTTTATAAACTACCCAGTCTCAGGGAATTCTTTATAGTGCATGAGAATGGACTAATACAGCTGGGAAACACTGGCAGGGTGGTTGTAAACCTTGGTTGGGAGATTTTTCCCAGTGAAGAGAAACAAGATCTGGTACCTGTGTGAAAGAGCAGTCTGGCAGCCTCTTGATAGAGCTGCTGCACTGTGCTGGTTGTCTGCTCCAGTCCTTAATCACCTCGGATTCTCTGGAGCCCAAAGGTATCAATGGTTAAAACTGTGAAACAGCAAGGATGGTGGGCCACCCCTCCCTCTGGATGTTCCCTTTCGGGGAGGAGTAACATTGCTACTTGCGGCTGGCTGGAGTTCCAAGCCAGTGGGTCTTATCATGTGAGGTGCTGTGGAAGCAGGATCTGTGGAAGCAGGGCCTGTACACCATCACTGCTCAGCACCCTGGATTCAGCCCCTTTCCTAGGGATATATGTAGAGGTCTAACCTCCCACTTTGCCAGAGTTGCAGCTGCTTTTGCTGGGAAGTGTGGGTATCTAAAGCCCCTGGAAGTTTGAGTGTGCCTGAGTAGTTTCTCTGACAAGACTCTACATAGCTCTCTGTATCAGACTGAAGGCCCTGGTGGAGTGACCTGAGGATTGAAAAGATCCATGGGAGAAGCCTGGGTCCCTGGAGTCGCTCACTCAATCACTGCTTCCCTGGGCAGGGGAGATTCCCCTGGCTCCACATCACTCCTGGGTGGGCGATTGTCCTGCCTTACTCTTCTCCATTCTCCATGGGTCAAGTTGTTTTCTTGATGAATCCCAATGCAGGTACAGGAGTGTTTCATGAAGGTGTTGTATTGATTTGCCCCTTCTATTTCTCTCCATGAGAGCAGGGCACAGTAGCTGCTTCTAGTCCACCATCTTCACCAGCTCTCCAACGTATAACTCTTGACTCCTCAAAAACTTAACTACTAATAGCACACTGTTGATTGGAAGTCTTACCAATAATATAAACAGTTAATTAGTACATATTTTTATGCTATGAGTAGTATATACTGTATCCTTACAATACAGTAAGCTAGCAAGTAAATGCTGTTGAGAAAATATATTTACTATTCCTTAAGTAGAAGTGGATCATCATAAAGCTTTTCATCCCTGTCTTCTTCAGATTAAGTAGGCTGAGGAGGAAGAAGAGCAGGAGGTTTTGCTGTCTAGGGTGCCGGAAACTGAAGAAAATTCACAAATAAGTGAACCTGTGCAGTTCAAATCCGTGTTGTTCAAGGGCCAGCTGTACAAAAGAAGGGCAGCTGTGGACACAGAGATGCTCACGGATGTGCTATCTATGAAGGCAAAACACCACAAGCAACATCAAAAGTCCAGGAATACAGGAATAATTAAACGAGTTGTCATCCATTTCCTCAGAGGAAGTTATGCACTATCACAATTCTTATGAAAAACAGAAACCACTAGAAATGTGAAGTGTTTATGGCATAAGTTTCAGCAAAAAAGGTAGCATAGAAAATTGAGAGCACATTCTGATATGATTTATAAATTATATATGAACAGGAACTACAGAATACACAAGAATAAGTAGAATTACTGAATTTTTTCAAAACTGTTTGGAATGCTTATTTTATATATATACTAGTACATATACAAGTACTAATATAAGTACATATATGTACATATATATATACCTCTGCCTCCCGGGTTCAAGCTATTCTCCTGCCTTAGCCTTCCGAGTTGCTGAGATTACAGGCACCTGCCACCACGCCTGGCTAATTTTTTGTATTTTTAGTAGAGAACTGGCCATGTTGGCCAGGTTGGTCTCAAACTCCTGGCCTCAGATGATCCTCCTGCCTCAGTCTCCCAAAGTGCTGGGATTACAGGCATGAGTCACTGTGCCCGGCCTGGAATGTTTACAATCTTTTAATAGTTAAAAGTGGCAAAGGCTTGGGGAGAGAATGGCCTTCCCAAAACTCCATGCTCAGAAAAAAAGGGATAATGTATCTAAATAACCTGCCAGAGTTCTGTTTCTCCCAGAGACATCATTAGCCCTCTGGGGGCTTTTGTGCAAATTAGGAAAAGTAGCCCCTCTTGAAGTATGCCCTTCCTAGAATGCAGACATTTCCTTTTTCTGGAGCTCTGTTCAGAGCCTTGATGTCTTCCACTGGAGGCTGGTGAATATAGGATTATTCGAGGAATATGTTGGCAGAATTGCCAAGAAGGCAGCTATTGTAGACCCAAAGATTAACTACTTCAGGCAGTATGCAGATGAGAATTAGGACAATGACAGTTGAATAAACAAATATGAGTCATATAAAAGCTGAATTATATGGCATGATACAGTGGCCCGCGATCTTTTTTGGCACCAGGGACCAGTTTCATGGGAGACAGTTTTTCCACAGATCAAGGAGGTTGGTGGTTTTGGGGTAAAACTGTTCCACCTCAGATCATCAGGCCTTATTAGATTCTCAAAAGGAGCATGCAACCTAGATCCCTCACATGCATAGTTCACAACAGGGTTTGCATGCCTATGAGAATCTAATGCTGCTGCTGATCTGACAGGAAACTCAGGCAGTAATGCTTGCTCACCTGCTGCTCACTTCCTGCTGTATGGCCAGGTTTCTAACAGGCCATGGACCAGTACAGGTCTGTGGCCCGGGGGTTGGGGAGCCCTGATATAATAGAAATAGATCTCTCTCCCCCTGACATCAGCAAGTTGTATGCTTTCTAAGCATTATTCTCCTGCCTACTGAAAACTATATTTAGACTAAACCAAGAAAGATATTGCACTGAAGATCTCACAAAAAGCCTGAGTTACAAGTCTCAGAGGTAGAAGAAAGTAAATTTGCCAAACTAGGCTGTCTATTCCTCCACCAGAGACAGTACCATTGCAGGCCTGTGATGAAGGGGTGAAGACAAGTGTCCATGGTGCTGCAGTAGGCCCCAGAGTCCAGAGTCCTGGGTCCCTTGCACGGAAGACCCTTGTTAGCTTCCTTCATGTCTGCATGCATCAAAGGAAACTAGCATGGACCTCAGGCACCTCACAAGATGGGCTGTGTCTTTTCATGGGGACTATAGATATGTGAAAGCATTCAGGAGGACATAAAACATGTTCTCTAAGAGGGAGCCTTTGTATTCAGCTCCCTGTGGTCAGGGACTGCATTTTTGGAGCCAAGCTCCAAAAATATTTGAACAGTCAAACCACTCCAGTGTACTAAAGAGAAATGAGAAAAGGTAGTTTCTGCTCTGGGTGAAGAGTCATTGAGAAAGTTCTTCCTCCCTACCTTGGTTCCTATACATCTTAGTCCCATCAGATTTTGCTGATAAGCCTTACTTGACACATGTGGGAAACATTTTCACTAGAGGTTAAAGGAAGCTGGTTTGGGACTGAAGCAAACGGCTATGCAAGGTCATACTGAGTTCAGCTCAGAGTCTCACATCTCAAATATTCTTTCCACACCCTTCTTCTGGGGCAGTGGCCTCTACTGAACCTGAAGGTGTAACTTCTCTCGGGTGACATGGAGTGCATGCCCGGCAATGCCTCAAGAGCTGCAGGGCAGGGTGATACAGCCCCAGGGAGTGGCTACCTTCACTAAGAAGCAGGTTTCTAAAACCAGCATTTCAGGATCCTCCAGGCATCCCTTTGGCCTGCTCACCTCCAGCTTCTGTGTCCTATAGCACAGTATTTACTGACAGGGAGAGCCCTTCTGCCAGCCAAACCTGCACAGTGCCCCAAGCACAGGGCAAGTGGGTGACCAAGGGCTATGTTACAGGCCCCTTTCCAGCAGCCAAAGGACACGCATCCCAAATTTGATGGGGTTTTTGCCCTTGGTACCCATAGACTTTCAATTTTCTGGAGTAGCTCCACCTTTTGTTATGGTTTGGTAAACAAAAGGCAGTCATCAGGAAGCCACTAATACAAATGTCACCATGCACATCACCCTGCCGAAAACCAACAGCAGCCTGTTCAAATGCTACAGGATATTGAGAAAATGATGAGGAGGCACTGAAGACAAAAAAGCCAAGCTTCTCCTCTTCCTGGTCATGCTGCAGACAGCTTACTGGCTTGGCAGCCCTCCAACTCTGCTTCCTTTTCTAGAAGCTCTAGGTACCCAGGCTGCAAAGCTGTGCTGCCTGCCTGCTCATTCCGAGCACGTTTGCACTCTGCTTTGAAGGGGCCAGCCATAAATAAAGCACAGGCTGGGGATTCCTGGGCAGGCTTGCATAATCACAGCCCTTCCTTTGAAAGGGGGAACCATATTCTGATATGTGCCTGTGGCTGGTGGTTTAACTTTAAATCTGTCACCGGTAGCTGGTCAAAAGGTTTTATTCTCTGTAGCCCCCAAGTTTGGCAGACAGGCCTTTTCAAAATGGAAATATCTCCCTGATCCACTGATAGGCAGTTTGGAGACGGTGTGCTGATGCCAATTAAAGCACACTGTGGTGTTCTATTCCTCTTGCCTTGGTGCAGGCTACATCCTCTGCCCCAAGGAACATCCACCCATCCTCAAGGCCAAGTCCAACTCTCTCTCTAAGATTCAGATCAGATCCCTTCACTGAACGAATATAGATAGATTAAGCACTCCCTTTGTGAGCCTGAGAGATGTGCTCTGTGCCATCATTGAACTATCAGTCTGCCAGGGAAGATGACAAAAGTGATATGTGTACAGCCTACAGATGTATCTGCTATGGCAGTAACTTCATCTGAGTAGGAGTTAGAAGGTGACAGAAGAATTTCACTTCTCCCCAAATCCTTCCTGGCTTTCCCTGGGCACTATGATTGCTCCCTTCTTGTGTTTTGTCAAAGGCACATATCCCATCTGCTCACTGTGTGATATTTCTACACGTTGCCTGCCTCCCATCCCTCTCACCCTTGCCATTTTATTAAGAGGTCTTCAAGGTCATGGACTGTCCTATGAATCAATTATCTGGCAAATGTTCAATAATTGAAATAAATAAATCTCTGAAAATTTTTTTGCTCTGAAAAGCAACTGTTGTCTACCTAACACCAAGTGATCAATAGGCTTTTAAAAATCTCTGAGTAATCTCAGAAGTGACAGTGTATTTGACTATATGGAACAGGATCCACGTGGATCCACGTGGATGAGCAGATCCACGTGATGAGCAGGTGAGCAAAAGCAACATTGGTAGTTAATGCAAGGATGAGTTAATGGAGGCAGTGGGGTGAGGGAAACAGGGCAGGGTGTCTTCACAGCCACTGAATCAGAGGTTAAAACAGCCAGCAGCAAGGGCTAGGGCACAGGCAAATATCAGGGCAGGTTTCACCCTAGTGTTTCTGAATTATTTGCATCCAAATGATGAGGCAGTTTACTGAAATTGTGTGGAAGTTATTTCAATGCCACAAAGATATTTAAAATTATATTAACTCATTTGTACAGAATGCTGAATACTACATCTTGATAGTAATTAGCAAACTCAATACAGTTATGACATGATCAGTTGCAAATAACCTAAAACATTCTCAAATGTTAATGTATAAATGAATTATCTAGGCATCTTGATAAAATTCAAATTCTGACTTAATAGTGGGTTGTGATTCTGTATTTCACCCAAGTTCCAAGGTTCCATTGGTCCATAGATCTCACTTTGAGTAGCCCCTACTAAAAGTGCAGGAGAAAAAGTTGTGATTTTGACAGAAGGCACTATTACTCTTCTTTTAAAATTGTATTTATTCATTAAATATTTTCAAACTGTGAAATTAATGGTCATTATGGTGAATTTGGGAACTGTAAAACATACCATGAAAAAATATTAAATCATCTTCAATCTCAACGTCCAGAGATAATCTGTATAAATATTTTGATGTGTTTCCTTCTAATCCCTTTTACTTTTGCATCTTACTCTCCACAATTTTTCTATCTTGATATTGTTTCTTTTTAAATTGTAGATGATTCACATGTTGTTATGTTATTTGAAAAATATGGTTTGTATCATGCCATACATTCAGTCCTCCAGAGCACAGCAGTTAAAGAACGAGTTCCTGCCCTTGTTTTTAGTGAAAGAAAGCAGTAAATATAAAATCAGGTAATAAATAAGATTGAATGGATAAAATTCTCATTTTGAAGGACTGTATAATTCTATTTTACAGCTGATTATAATAAAGTTAACCAATCTTTCCTTCAGACATTTAGATTCTTTCTTTTGTTCTTATATACACATGTATGTTTTAAATATGCAGACTATGTGAAAAATCCTTGCAGCCCGATTTTTGCATAGTCTTCTGATTATTTCCTTCAAATAAATGTCTGTAAGTGAAATTTCTGGGTCATAGGGTGTGTAAGCTTTTAATACATATCGTCAAATGGGACCCCAGAAATGTTGTACCCATTCATGCTCTTATCAGCAATCAGGAAGGAGCCTGAAAAGCTTCACCACATCTTCACCAGCATTGGTCATTATGTGTTTTTACATTTGTCAGGTTATTTTTGTTTACATTCCCTTTCTGCTTATGAGGTTAAGTATTTTCCTGTATATATAAGCCACTTGGTATTTTCCTTTGTGAAGTATCTGTTTCTTTTGCCCATGCTGCCTTGGGAGTGTTTTCCTCCTATTAATTTATAACTTTCCTATGGATTAAATATATTAACCATTTGTTATATATTTTGTAAGTAGTTTTCTACTTTGTTGTTTGTCTTTTAATTTTGTTTCTGTTTTTTAAAGTTCTACAGAGTTTTGAACTTTTAGGTAGGCCATAGCTATTGATCTTGTCCACTGTGAATTTGTCTTTTGTTTCTGTATTAGACATAGACTTCCCTGCAACCAGATGAGAATAATATGGATCTATGTTTCTTCCTAGTTTTGCTACATTATGCATATATGGAAAGGGTAGAAGGCAGGGTTGTAAGAAAATTCTCCTTTCCAGTGGTACAGTTTTCTAAAACTGGGTTGTGCTGCAGGTTTGCCCCCAGAAAACCAGGAACAGGAAAACACTGAAAGTTGACATATTTTTCAGGATAATAATATGAGTTTGAGAAGCCAGCTTTTTTTATTTTTTATTTTTCATTTTTATTTTTTTGATCCATTACATGCATACTTCTCCATAGGAAAGAGATGCTGGGGTCTTTCACCTATGCGTGGTATGTATGATAGACAGAATAATGATCCCTCCAAAGATGTCCAGAGGCTAATCCCTGAAACCTGTGAATACATTACCTTCCCTGGCAAAAGGAAGTTTGCAGATGTGATTAAGTTATAGATCTTGAGAAGAGAGATAATTGTGGAATATCCAGGTGAGTTCAAAGTCATCATAATGGCTCTTATAACAGGGAAGGAAGAGGGTCAGAATCAGAGAGGTCATGGACAATGAAAGCCGAGGTCAGAGAAATTTGAAGATGGCCTACTACTCACTTTCAAGGTGGAGAAAGGGCTATGGGCCGAGGAGTATAGGTAGCCTTTGGAAGCTGGAAGGAAACACTCTTCCCTAAAACTCAGCCCTGCTGACACCTCGGTTTTAGGACGTCTGACCTCCAGAATGGTAAGCCTCTAAGTTTGTGGTACTGTAATTTGTTACAAACGCAATAGGAAACTAATACAGCATCATCAGAGTACAAGTTCAATCTCTACAGAAGTTCCTGAATATGATTGCTTCCCAGCCTGTGTCCAACTCAACTGACTACCACCAGGATAGCAGGATTAATTTCATCACCAATGCAAGGTCCCAGAGTACTGGTAAACCTTAGCCAGAATGAGACAGTTGGAGTTGCTGCCTAAAAGTAAAAGGGTATGGGGTAGAAACTGGAGGCTTTTGGTTCTTCTCCTTTAATTTGCCCAGATATTCTTACGAATCCTCAGAATATTTCATTCTAATTAGTTTTTAATAAGGACAAAAACAGCACTACTTTTTAGGGTTATTGTGAGGATTAAATGAGTTAATACATACATGTATAGCCCTCAAAACATTGCCTGGCACATAGAAAGCATTCAATAGGTGTTAGCTGTTGTTGCTGTATGTATTAGAGTTCTCCAGAGAAAAACAGAACCAATAGGGGCTGTGTGTGTGTGTGTGTGTGTGTGTGTGTGTGTGTGTGTGTGTGTGTGTGTGTACAGAGACTGTATTTTAAGAAATTGGCTCACATAATTCTGGAGCTGGAAAATTCAACATATGCAGGACAGGCCAGCAGGCTAGAGACCCAGGAAGGAGCTGATGTTGCAGTCTCAAGTCCAAAGGCAGTGTGGAGGCAGAATTTCTTCTCCCTCAAGGGAACTAGGTCTTTTCTCTTAAAGCCTGATTGGCTGAAACCCACCCACATTATGAGGGATAATCTGTTTTCCTCAAAGTCTACTAATTTAAATTAATATCTAAAAAATATTTTCAGAGCAACATCTACACTGGTGTTTGACCAAACATCTCAGCTCCATAGCCCAGCCAAGTTGACACCTAAAATTAATTATCACACTGTCTTTTGTTTGTTTCCTATCTTATTTCAATGGCTACAACTTCCAGGAAAATATTTAAAAGTGAAGACAATACTATTAAATAATTGTAAATACTGAAGGTAATATATTGTTATCGTATTTCCAGTTCTAATGGGAACACTCTACTACAGTATGTCTCCAGTGACTATTTGTATAAGTACTGTTAAGGAACTACTCTCTTTTCCTACTTTACAATATTTTAAATCACAAGTGGGTATCATCTGCTAAGATGATTATATAATTTTTTCTTTATAGATTTCCCATTAATAAACCATTCCTTACATTTCTATGGTAAACCTTACATGGTCTGATTATAGTCTTTAAGATTTCAATTTAATTATTTAATTTAATGTAAGGTATTAAGAATTTAATTTCATAGTATTTCCACTCATTTTAAATTTGTCTTCCCAAGTCAGTGTCAGTTGCATCTGAAGAGTTTTGTTTTTATTCGTTTTGGTGGAGAGTTTGTTTGATGGTTTTTGTTAAAATGTTATATGATGGTTTTAGTTTTGCTCACTTCGTAAGTGAATTGGTAAGTATTCCATCTTTCTCTGTGCCATGTAGCTATTTATGAAGCATAGGATTAAACATATTCTCAGTAGCAAGATATACAAACTATCCGATCACAAAAGCAGTTTGGTGTCTCTTTCACTTGCAGATTTCCCTTCATCAATTCAACATTGACACTATATAAATTCAATATTACACCAAATGTTAATTCAATATTATGCTTAAAAAGTACCTGCTCTTACCTTAAAGAACACACATTTCTTTCTACTTTGTCTTTTGAATCTCGTATCTACCTTCTCTCACTTTCTATAAACTTTCCCTTAAAAAACAAAAACAGTTTCCCTAGCCTGAATAACCAGCTGAAGAGGGGTGGCCAATAGAACCTGGGTCTCTTGATGAGTCACTCTGCGTTAGGAATCAATCCTGAATTCTTTGACAAGTGGTCACTTTCTTCTTCAAAAACATCCCTGTGCCCGGCTTCTCCTACACCGAGGCCAGCTTAGGCCTCCTGGGTCTGTGCTTCATGTGGTTGCCTACAAAACAAATTCAAACAAACAAAAATCAAAAAACATGTGTGGCCACTTCTGGCTGAAGAAAAAGTCCAGTTTTGGCCTTGGGTGGTCTTAGTGAGGACAGTCCAGAGTTCAGGGCTTGTCTTCAGGGGACTGAGCTGTCACTGAGAAAAAGCCCTCTGTGGCTTCTGTTTCAAAGTGATGCTGGCAGATGGAACAGCCAATTCTGACTCTGTCCCACTGCACGACATGCTGCCCCTTCACAGCAGATGGCTGAGATGACGATCTCCTGTGTTCCGAGACTCCAGAAAGGCTGCAAGCCAACTGCAACATTGCTCCCATACCCACGGAGGCCAGGTTTTTACACGTAATGCTTCTTTATATTCAATTCTCATTTTGCTTTCTGGTGAGGGATTTTTCAATAGTCAAACAACTGAAAATTATTTTCATGAGCCAGCATTGTCCAAACAGGGGTCTGGGAGGACACTGCTGTCCCACAGATGTCAATAGGCCTTCCAAGAAAAAAAAAGGTTCTGTCTTCAAATCAATGTGGGAAAAACTGGGTTAAATAAAATTCAACTAGTTTCTTCACTACATATTGATGTTCTCTGTGACCTCTGAAACCTTTATTTCACAGTACACCTATTAATATTTCCAAATACACCATTGTTGGGTAGAATATATTTGGGAGAAAATTATCTTAGGTAATCATCATTATTATCATCACCTATAATTACAGAGTGCTTACTAGGTATTAAGTACTGTGCTAGGCATTTTACGTGCTATGTCTCATTTAATCCTTGCAAGATCCCTAGGAAGTGGGAATTACTGTCTTCATTGCACAGTGGCATAAGAGGTTAAGTAACAAGCTCACAATGAGAGCATTAGTAAATCATAAATCTTAATTTGCACCCAGGCCTGTCTGATTCTAAAGTCTATGTGCTTAATCAGTAAGCTACAATTTTTATAGCTTTACTATAATTTGAAGTACATTCTCCCCTTAGTATCTGCAGGGGACCAGTTCCAGGACCCTGTGCAGATACCAAAATCTGCAGAAGCTCAAGGCCCTCCATATCTGCAGGTTTAAGACCAACTGTATTTATCTTATTAAATGATACATTGTATTCTATTATCAATACATACTTGGAACAATCATATCCTCTCATTCCCTGAGAGCCAGCCCAGCAGATCCCTCTGCCAGCAAGCGTAGCCACACTGTGTAGCAGCCACTACTGACCAATGAGAGCTGAATTGAGCACATGTGGTCATGCATGTTGTTTTTTCCTTGCAGCTTCTCTTTCTGACATAAAAGTGTGTCAAGAAGTGTCTAAGTGATGGTGCCAGACCTTCTGCAAAGGCACAACAAAGGACAGCAAGCTGAATGTGAAACTGCAAGTTTGATAGCATCCGTTGAGTGGAGGAAATGAAGGATAAAGATTAGCAGGCAATTAGAGGTTGGTAGCAATCCTTTGGCAAGTGAAGAGCATCACTGTAGCCTGAGAGAAGTGACCAGCCATTGTGTGAAACTGGCCAGAGGCTTGTCATGACCTCAGAGGATTTAAAGAGCTAGTGCTAAATAATTTGCTGGAAATTCATCTCCACAGGGACCATTCCATATACTGCTGTGATGGTTCCTACTTAGGGATTGCATCTCCTGTGCTCATGAGACAGCACTGTGCTACCTCTTAACAGCTTCCACAGGTCTCTGTCCAGTAACCAGCCTTCTTCCAGCGCTGTTGCACCACAACCTTCTGCACATAGAGAGGAGACGCTTACCATGATATAATTTTGCATGTCAAGGGAGGATGGCCTATTAGCAGAACCAATTTAGAGTTACCATCTTACTCAGCCAAGGTATGACAGCATGTTTTGTGAGAAGCATGCCCAGTTGAGAATTTTTCTATCTTGAGAAATCCCAGAATAAAAAATTCCACACCTGAAAGATACAGTTTGAAGTAACCCTACTCCTATAAGCTCCTCTGTTAAGGTGTTCTCTCATCCTCTCCATTCAAAAAAGTTAGGAATTTTCCACATGTATTTTAGCTTCTATTACATAACAATCCACCCCAATACTAGTGACTTAAGTTAACTACTATTTATTATTTATGATGGGTCTACAGATCAGCTAGGCAGTTCTGCTGACTTGGACTAGACTGAACTGGTCTTGGCTGGGCATGCTCATGCATTTGCGGTTAGCTGGGCAACTGTCTGGAGGCCACCTCATCTAGAATGGCCTCATTTGGGACAGCTCATCTCTGCCCCATGTGGTCCCCTCTCCTCTGGCAAGCTAGCCTAGGTTTGTTCTTAATAAACAATCACTTTTAAAGCCTCTGGTTGTGTCACATTTGCTGACACTCCATTGGCCTAAGCAAGTCTCATAAACGAGTTCAAGGTCAAACTTGGCAGGAACAAAAAAGTTTCAGGGGAAAGGCAGGGATACAGAGGCCATTAAAGGGGACTATTTATGCTATCAATTAACACCACAGATCTGAAGTTCACCACAAGAATTAGCCCATGGTAGGCATTATAATACATCAAAATATATACGATCTATACTACAATAGGCACTACAATAGGTCAAAAATATCTCTTGACTTTAATTTGACTCCTATGGTGAATAGAATTATAAAGGGAGGTTAGGTCAGAGCTAAGAAGAATCATATTAACCTAGGCCCTTCAGTGATTCACCATTTCAGAATTAGCCCAAAACCCAATTCATGACACTGAAATCCCTTTGTACAATTTTGTTCAACTAAAAGAATGCAGCACTGAAAGGGATCAGGATATGCCATCTTCAAAATATGTGACTTTGGCATAAGGATTATTATAAGCCAAACGCATTTTAAATTCAGCAGATGCAGAAAGAAGCCTTCTCAGAATTTCCCTTATCGGACTAAAAGAATAAATTTGTATCTGGGAAATGAGGCTACCATAAATTCCCTCATTGGGATGGATCTGGTGCCAGGAGAGAGACCTTGAGTAAACTTATCATAAACCCTTCCCACAGGGAGGTTTTATGACCCTGAAGGAGATGGAAAGATGGCTCAGACCTGTATAGACAAACATCAGCAAAACCTTTCTCTCTCATTTGTCCTCCCCAAAACCCATTTTTCTTTCTTTTAAAAAAAGTATTTGTCCTTTCCATAGAAGCCTTTTCTCCCACTTTCCTTTCTCCTACTAAGTTAGGTGTATAAGCCCCAAATTCCAATCATCCCTTTGACTAACTCATCACTGAGCATTCCTGCATGTATGAGCATTACATGCATAAATAAACTTTTTCTCCTGTTAATCTTCCTTTTGTCAGTTTAATTTGCAGACCCCAGTAACAAAACTTAAGAGTTTTGAAGAAAAATTTTTTCTCACCTACAATACCATCCCTACGAACTACCTAGGTCAGGAACAACACTGTAAGAATGACCTTACTATTTAAGCCATTTGAGTTGAAGTTTTCTGTTGCTCACAGCCAAGCGCATTCTAACTAATTGAGTATTGTGTCTGAGTTGCCTATTGAACAGCTAAAGAGAGTGGCCAGGGAAGGAAATAGACATAAATCTGGATTTGGGGAAAGAGATCAGGGCAGGGGATAGAGATTTGGAGGTCATAGGCCTAGATTCTATTTAAAGTCACATGACTGGATGAAATCACTTGGTAAATGTATGTAGGCAGTAAATAGAGCAGAGAAGAGTGCTCAGGACTAAGTCTTAAAGAACTCTAATATTTAGAGGCTGAGCAAGGTAAAAGGAGACATCAAAGGAGACTGAGAAGTAATCTATGAAGTAGGAGGAAAACAAAGAGACTGTGGTGTTATGGAAGCCTAAAAGGGAAAGAACGTACTTCAAGAGAGAAGGTGAGTTGAACTGTGTTGGATACCTCTAAGAAGTCAGGCTTTACAGCATTTTTGTACCTGTAGAGCTTCCTCTCTTGCCAGAACAAGCACCTTTGCCCTCGAAGCTCCAAGTTACAGAACTATCTTTTCCTCTGTCTCACATCTCCTGGCCATGCTCTCCTTTGCCTCTGTGGTTTCACCTACATTGTAATCTAAAACATTCCTTTGTATATCTCCCCTCTCCAACTCCTACTGCTCCTCCAGGTTTCAGCTTAGACGCCACTTCTCCAGATCTGTTTGAGGGGCTCCATCCAAGCGCTTCCAAAGAATCCTGCTCTTCCCTTGTCAAAGCACTTACCGGATGATAACTCCTCTATTCCCCATTTGACTGTAAGTTCTGTGAGGTCAAGCCCACAGATTTTATCCTCTGTTATCTTTAGTGTGTGGCACAGTGCTGAGAGATGCTAAAATACAATACACACACACATTTTTAGAGTAAATGAATGACAACACAAATGCCAAATCCACCTCCACTATGCTGCCTGGCTAACCCAACTAGTTAGCCAAGACTCAACCCTCATTGGGAATTCTCCTCCCAGTAGTATACCATTTTCATGGTGAATAAAATTTCATCCATTTGAAATAAATGGAAGGAAGCCTACTGTGAATTACTGAGAAACTGTATCGTTTTAAAAGTTTTTGTGCTTCAGGTAAGCCCTAAAAAATATCTTTCCTGTCTGAACTAATACTTTGTAATTTGTTCACTCATTATTTGCCTTCAAATGATGTTAAAATATTTTTAAAGGTGATGAAACCCCTTTCTTAAGTAAATGGAGCAATAATCCCGAATATGAGTTTATACTACTTCTTTGTTTAGCAAATTCTACTTGCTACATATAGATAAGGCAAAGGTAAATTTTAATCTAGCCTCAGGAAAAAAATGTTGAATTGTCTGAATCCCTTTCAGGATTCTGAAGGTCCTTGTACTTTAGGAAAGATAAAAATAGGTGAGAAGCGGAAGGTGAGGAGGGTCCCAGAATTGCATTATTTTGAAACTCTATGTCTTTTGATATATAATACCAAAGTAGTGAGTCTGATTTACAGATATTAAAGTACTATCTTTAGAAGTAGGAAGTCAGCAATGGCATATATATTCCTTCCCTTCCTCCCTGAAGATTGCACACACATCTTTTTAAAGATACAAAAATGATTTAGAAATATAGAGAGAAGCTGGCTTTTTTTAGGCATTGCATTTCTAGGTTTTCCTAAACTTTAAAATGTGTTAGGGAAAAAAAATTCTTAACAAGTTTCCAACTATTCATTGATGTTAACCCTTCAAAGGTAGCTTTCTTCTTCTTTTTTGAAAAATAGTGTATTTAGGTAAAAGATGACTTGGGATATAAACCTGGGGTTCTAATTCAAGGGACAGGATACAGAAAAGGTGCTCAGCACCCATTGGACTCCAGCTTTCTCTGTGTAGCTGGATTAGTGGCTATGATCCCCGTGGCTGCCTGAGTGAGGCTCAGAGACATGTGACAAACAAGCTGATTGCAGCCCTTGCTGACACAGACTGTATGAACAATAACACTCCAACAGACCCATCCAGCCTACTCCTCTCTCCAACTCTGGGTGTGCCAAGTGGAAAAATGATTCCAAGAGGCAGCACAGACAATACCTCTGGCTTCAAGAATCAATGCCAGGAGCCAATTCCTAAAAATAACTGAGTAGAGTAATTGGGTAGGGACAGATGCTAGGAAAGAAATAGTAAAATTTGATTATTATTTTATTTTAAGCACAACCCCAAAGCTACATTACTGTGGACCCCTCTTAGCCCTTGACATAAATGCAGATCTGTGGATATTTCCTATTGCGTCAGTGAGTTCTTGTGATATTCAATAATGAAACAAATATGACCCAAAGATTTGAAGAGATTATCTAGAGTCAGTAATTCCCAAAAGGAAAGAGTACAATGGGCATCTTAATGCTATGGGCTTTTCAGGTGTGGCCTCTTTCTTCAGATTTATTGATAACGGTCTCCAGAGAAAATATCCTGGCAAAAGCCCCCTTTTAACAAATATTTCTCAATTTGGCCAGCAGTCAGTTCTCTAAAGTAGCTGTAGCCTGCAGGCCCTATAATCCAAAAAGAGGCTTCAATTTTGTTACAATGCAGAGTTTGAAGGCAGGCACAATGCCACGCTTGAGTTGAGAAAGTGTGAAGGCTGTGGGGGCTACAATCTGAAGGGTTTGCTGGAAATGTGTGTAGGTGAAGACTGTATCTTAAATGCCTGGCAGTTCTTGGCAAGAGTCAAGCCAGCCCCATAAGAGGAGGATCCCTCTGGGCCTCTCTCCAGCACAATCTGAGGCAACAGGCACATACTGTGGTCCCGGCTATAACACACTGGTAGAGTTTCCTTTCCTTGCCCCAGGGGAATGCAGAAGACCCCAGCAATCCTCGGGCACCTGCAGGCTGCCAGTGTGCATGCACACACATGTGTGCACATACACCAGCCTGTAGTGTGCACTGACTCAGGTTGGTAAAAGCAGTAATCCTTGCTCTCCTCTGTGCTGGGGACCTCTCCTCCCTTCTCACTGGGCCCACAGGTTGAGGAGATTATTATGCTTATTTTGATTATGCTCGTTTCTGGTGAGTCAGTCTTCTCTGGAAAGAAGCGCAATTAATTTTCCCTTCAGAAATATAACATTGGTCTTCAGTCAGAGTGCTTTCACGCATGTCTCCAGAATTGACTTGTTTTCATAGTTGCATTACTTGGGGTCTCAGTTTCTTCATCTGTGGAGTGGGATTGCAGTGACCTACTCACAGAATTGTTACAAAGACTGAATGAGAAGAAACAGTATATGTGATAGTGCTTTGGAAGCTGAAATGGACTTAACATCAAATAACAGTCATTAATAAGATCTATTCATCAATAGCCAAGTTTACTCACTGATATCAGAAGTGGATTCTGAGAATGTGTACTCTTAGCCATTTTCTAGCTGTGTGAACTTCTAAACAAGTTAATTAACTTCTTAGAGGCTTAATTTTCTTATTTATAGAATTAGGAAAATAATACCTATTTCTACAAGGCTGTTGTAGGAATTTTATTTTATTTATGTATTTATTTATGTATTTATTTATGTATGTATGTATTTATTTATTTATTTATTTATTTATTTATTTATTTATTGAGACAGACTCTCACTCTGTCTCCCAGGCTGGAGTGCAGTGGTGCAATTTCGGCTCACTGCAACCTCTGCCCTCCTAGGTTCAAATGATGCTTCTGCCTTAGCCTCCCAGGTAGCTGGGACTAGAAGTGCGCACTACCACGCCTGGCTAATTTTTGTATTTTTAATAGAGATGGGGTTTTGCCATGTTGGCCAGGCTGGTCTTGAACTCCTGACCTCAGGTGATCCACCCACCTCGGCCTCCCAAAGTGCTGGGATTACAAGCATGAGCCACTGTGCTCGGCCTGTTGCAGGAATTTTAAATAAGCCATATTACACTTAGCATAGTGCTGACACATAGTAGATGTTTTAAAATGGTAGTTATAGCTGTTGTGTTAACAAATGTTGCATACATTTGTAGAAATAGAATGCTTCTTTCTTCCCAAACTTGCTAAAGTGTTCTTTCTTGCTCAAGAACTAAATGCCTACCTCAGTTACTGTTAAAAGTGTGCATAGGTGTGGTTCACTAGACGGATGCCCAGGACATGACAATAAATAAGCCATGGACTGCACTTTGAATGCATTGCTTGAATTCATATGAGGATTATTATTTTAATGCTCATTATTTCAATGCCCTTTTCTAGCTTCCTTTTATTCCTTTGCATTATTAAAAATGCCTTATTAAAAATGCAAAGGGATAAAAGAAAGCTAAAAAACAAAGCAAATCAAAGCAACTAAGTTTAACTATTATGCAGTTTGGTAAATTTCCTATCAGTTTAGTTAAGGGTTGGCATCTTTATTAACTAATGAGAATGGGAAAAAACAACATATTGAGGCCTACCAAGTAATAAATCATAACTTTCACATCTTAATTTAATGTAATAAAAAATAAGATAGTGCTCAGAGCCACATTCTGGTCTGTTTAGAGAGGGGGAAAGGAGGAAAAGCAAGATGATGGAGTAAGAGTTTCCATCATTGCCCCCCCAACCCACCCCCGCAAGGACACTGAGTTAATAACTATCTACAGAGAAAAAACCCCTTCATGAGAACCAAAAATCAGGTGAGCACTCATAGTATCTGGTTTTAACTTCATATCTCTGAAAGAAGCACTGAAGAGATAGAAAAAACAGTCCTGAATTGCTGACACTACCCCTCCCCCACCCCTGGCTGCAGCAGGGTGGTGCAGAGTGTCTCTGGGAGCTGGGGGAGGGAGAACACAGCAATTGTGAGGCACTCAACTCAGGGCTGTTCTGTTAGAGCAAAAAGGAAAACCAGACCAAACTCAGCCAATGCCTGCCAACGGAAGGAGCATTTTAACCAGGCCTAGCTAGAGGGGAATCACTGATCTCAGCAGTCTGAACTGAGTGCCTGCAAACCTCACCACAGAAGGCTACAGCACCCTGTGTCTCCAAGTAAACATGAAAGGCAGTCTAGGCCGTAAGGTCTACAACTCTTAGGAGAGACCTAATGCTGAACTAGGCCCAGAGGCAGTGGACTCGGGGTGCATACTGAGACATCAGCTGGGGCAGCCAAGGGAGTGTGGCATCACCCCTCCCCTAATCCCATACTACTCAGTTCGGGGCTCCAAAAGAGACTCCTTCCTCTGCTTGAAGAGAAGAGAGGAAAGAGTAGGGGAGACTGTCTTGCATCTTAGATACCAGCTCAGCTACAGCAGGATAGGGCACCAGACAGAGCTGTGAGGCCCCTGTTCCAGGCCCTCGCTCGTGGAGAACATTTCTAGACACATCCTGGGTCAGAAGGGAACCTGCTGTCTTGAAGGAAAGACTCAGTCCTGGCAGCATCAGTCACCTGCTAACTGAAGAGCCCTTGGACCCTGAACAACCAGTAGTGATACCCAAGTACTACATCGAGGACCTTGGACGAGTCTCTGAGACATGCTGGCTTAGCTCTGAGACAGCATGGTCACAGAGGGGTAGAGCACCAAGCAGGCCCTCAGGGTCCCTGATTCCAGGACTTGGCCCTTTGCTGGCATTTTTGGACCTGCCCTGGGCCAGAGGGGAGCCCACTGCCCTGAAGGGTGAGTCACAGGCCAGGCAGCATTCACCACAAGCTGATTTAAGAGACCTTGGGCCTTAAGGGAACATGGGCAGTAGTCTGGCAGTACTCTTCGTGGTTTGGGGTAGGGGTGACTCTGGGATGAGGCCCCTCTGCCTGTGGAAAGGGAAGGGAAGAGTAGGAAGGGCTACATCTTGTGGTTTGAGTGCCAGCTCAGCTGCAACATAATAGATCACCAGGTAGACTTCTAAAGTTTTTGACTCCAGTCCCTGACCCCTGGACAGTACCTCTGGACCCACCCAGGGCTTGGGGGACCTCACCACTCTAAAGGGAAGGACACAAGCCTGACTGGTTTTGCCGCCTCCTGATTATAGATTTCCAGGGCCTTGAGTACACATAGGCAGTAGCCAGGTGTGGTCACAGCAGGCCTTGGGCAAGACCCAGTGCTGTGCTGCCTTCAGGTCTGACCCAGTGTGGTCATAGTGGTTGTGGCCACAGGGGTGCTTGTGTCACTCCACCCCCAGCTTTAGGTGGCTCAGAACAGAGAAAGAGAGAGACTCTGTTTGGGAGAAAGTAAGGGAAGAGAACAAGAGTCTTTGCCTGGTAATCCAGAGGATTCTCCCGTATCTTGTCCAAGACCATCAAGGTGGTACTTCTACTAGTCTGCAAGAACTGCAGTGTTACTGGGCTTGGGGTGTCACCTAAAGTACATACAGCTTAGATCACAACACCCAAGTCCTTTCAAATATCTGGAAAGTCTTCCCAAGAAGGATTGTTTACAAATAAGCCCAGACAGTGAAGGCTACTATAAATACCTAACTCTTCAATGCCTAGATACCAAAGAACATCTACTAGCATAAACACCATCCAGGAAAACATGACCTCACCAAATGAACTAAATAAGGCATCAGGGATCAATCCTGGAGAAACAGAGATAGTGATGTTTCAGACAGAGAATTCAAATTAGCTGTGCTGGCCAGGTGTGGGGTCTCACGCCTATAATCTCAGCACTTTGGGAAGCTGAAGTGTTAGCATCACTTGAGCCCAGGAGTTTGAAGGCAGCCTGGGCAACATAGTGAGACCTCCATTTCTATATAATTAAAAATTTTTAAATAAAAATGATCGCTATATTGAGGAAACTCAAAGAAATTCAACACAGAGAAGGAATTCAGGATTCTATCAGATAAATTTAACAAAGAGATTTAAATAATTAAAAAGAATCACGCAGAAATTCTGGAGCTGAAAAATGCAATTGGCATACTGAAGAATGCATCAGAGTTCTTTAATAGCAAAATGGATCAAGCAGAATAAATAATTAGTGAGCTTAAAGACAGGCTATTTGAAAATAAAAAGAGGAGACAAAAGAAAAAATGGATGAAAAACAATGAAACACACCTACAGGATCTAGAAAATTGCCTCAGAAGGGCAAATTTAAGAGTTGTTGGCCTTAAACAGGAGGTAGAGAAAGAGACAAGGGTAGAAAGTTTATTCAAAGAGATAATAATAGAGAACTTCCCAAACCTAGGGAAAAATATAAATATCCAAGTACAAGAGGGTTATGGAACACCAAGCAGATTTCACCCAAAGAAGACTACCTCAAGGCATTTAATAATCAAACTCCCAAAGGTTAAGGATAAAGAAAGGATCCTAAAAGCAGCAAGAGAATAGAAACAAATAACTTACAATGGAGCTTTGATACATCTGGCAGCAGACTTTTCAGCGGAAATCTTACAGGCCAGGAGAGAGTAGCATGACATATTTAAAGTGACGAAGGAAAAAAAAAACAAACAACTTTTACCCTGTAACAGTATATCTGGCAAAAATATCCCTCAAACATCAAGGAGAAATAGACTTTCCCAGACAACAGCTGAGGCATTCCATCAATACCAGATCTGTTCTGCAAGAAATGCTAAAGGGAGTAAATCAATCAGAAAGAAAAGGACATTGATGAGCAATAAATAATCACCTGAAGATACAAAACTCACTAGTAATAGTAAGTACACAAAAAAACACAGAATATTATAACACTGTAACTGTGGTATGTAAACTACTCTTATCCTAAGTAGAAAGACTAAATGATGAGCCAATCAAAAATAATAACTACAAAACTTGTCAAGACAGAGTCAGTACAATTAGATACAAATAGAAACAACAAAAAGTGGGGGGATGGAGTTAAGGCATAGAATTTTTATTAGTTTTCTTTTCACTTGTTTATGCAAATAGTGTTAAATTCTTATCAGGTTAAAATAACGAGTTATAAGATAGTATTTGCAAGCCTCATGGTAACCCCAAGTCAGAAAACACACCATGGACACACAAAAATTAAAAAGCAAGAAATTAAATCATATCACCAGAAAAAGCACTTTCACTAAAGGAAGACAGGAAGGAAAGAAAAAAGGAAGATAAGACCACAAAACAAGAAAACAAATAACAAAATGGCAGGAGTAAGTCCTTACTTATCATAGTAACATTGAGTGTAAATGGACTAAACTCTCCAATCAGAAGACAGACTGAAAAAATCAAGACCCACTGATCTGTTGCCTACAAGAAACACACTTCACCCATAATGATACACACAGACTGAAAATAAATGGATGGAAAATGATATTCCACACCAGTGGAAACCAAAAAAGAGCAGGAGTTGCTATACACATATCAGAAAAAATAGATTTCAAGACAAAAACTATAAAAAGACACAAAGAAGGTCACTATATAATGATAAAGGGGTCAATTCAGCAAGAGGATAAAACAATTTTAAATATATATGCACCCAACAATGAAGCACCCTGATATATAAAGAAAATAGTATTAGAGCTAAAGAGAGATAGGCCAGAATACAATAATAGCTGGAGACTTTAATACCTCACTTCCAGCATTGGACACAGCTTCCAGACAAAAAATCAACAAAGAACCATGTTACTTAATGTGCACTACAGACCAAATGGACCTCATAGATATTTACGGAACATGTCATCCAAGAGCTGCAGAATACACATGCTTTTCCTCAGCACATGGATCATTCTAAAGGGTAGACCATATGTTACATCACAAAACAAGTCTTAAAACATTTAAAAAAATGGAAATAATATAAAGCATCTTCTCTGACCACGATGGAATAAAATTGGAAATTAATAACAAGAGGAATTTTGGAAATTCTACAAATACATAAAAATTAAACAATATGCTCCTGAATGACCAGTGGATCAATGAAGAAATTATGAAGAAAATTAAAAAATTTCTTGAAACAAATGATAATGGAAGCACAACATGCCTAGCTAGAGCAATCACACAATAGGAAAATATAAAAGGCATCGAAATTGAGAAGAAAGAAATCAGTTTATCCTGGTTTGCAGATGATATGATCTTCTATTTGGAAAAACCTAAAGTCTCTGCAAGAAAATGATTAGAACTGATAAACATATTCAGCAAAGTTGGAGGACAAAAAAATCAACATACAAAAATCAGTAGCATTTTTATATACCAACAGTGATCAAGGTGAAAAATATTTTTTTAAGTAATCCCATTTACAATAGCCACATATCAAATTAAACACCTAGGAATTAATCAAAGATGTGAAAGATCTCTATAATGACAAACATGCCAAGAACATACACTGGGGAAAAGACAGTCTCTTCAATAAATGGTGCTGGGAAAACTGGATATCCATAGCAGAAGAATGAAGCTAGACCCCTATCTCTTACCGTATACAAAAATCAAATCAAAACGGATTAAAGACTTGAATCTAGACCTCAAACTATGAAAATACTACAGGAAAACGTTGGGGAAAATCTCCAGGACTTTGGTCTGGGCAAAAATGTCTTGAGCAATATCCCACAAGCACCGGCAACCAAAGCAAAAATGGACAGATGAGATCACATCAGGTTAAAAAGCTTCTGCACAGCAACGGATACAGTCAACCAAGTGAAGAGACAACCCACAGAATGGGAGAAAATATTTTCAAACTGCCCATCTGACAAGGAAATAATAACTAGAATATATAAAGAGGTCAAACAACTCTATAGGAAAAAAGCTAATAATTCGATTCAAAAATGGGCAAAATCTGTGAATAGACATTTCTCAAAAGAAGACATACAAATGGCAAACAGGTATATGGAAAGGCACTCAGCATGACTGAACATCAGAGAAATGCAAATCAAAATTACAGTGAGATATCATCTCACCTGGGTTAAAATGGCTTTTAGACAAAAGAAGTAATAAATGCTGGTGAGGATGTGGAGAAAAGGGAACTCTTGTACACTGTTGGTGAGAGTGTAAATTAGTACAATCATTATGGAGAATGATTTGGAGATTCCTTTAAAAACTAAAAATTGAACTACTATGTGATTCAGCAATCCCACTGCTGGGTATATACCAAAGGAAAGGAAATCAGTATATCCAAGAGATATCACACTCCTATGTTTGTTGCAACACTGTTTACAATAGCTAAGATTTGTAAGCAACCTAAGTGGCCATCAACAGATGAGTGGATAAAGAAATGTGGTACTTATACACAATGGAGTACTATTCAGCCAAAAAAGATCCAGTTATTTGCAACAACATGATGGAACTGGAGATCATTATGTTAAGTGAAATGGGGCAGGCACAGAAAGACAAACATTGCATGTTCTCACTTATTTGTGGGATAAAAATCAAAACAATTGAACTCATGAAGATGGAGGGTAGAAGGATGGTTACCAGAGGCTGGGAAGGGTAGTAGGGGGTTGTGGGGGAGGTGGGGATGATTAATGGGTACCAAAAAAATGGAAAGAATGAATATGCCTCCTATTTGATAGCATAACAGGGTGACTATAGTCAATAATTACATATTTTAAAATAAAGAGTGTAATTGGATTGTTTGTAACTCAAAGGATAAATGCTTGAGGGGATGGATACCCTATTCTCCATGATGTGCTTATTTCACATTTCATTGCCTGTATCAAAACATTTAAATATATACACCTACCATGTACCCACAAAAAGTAAAAATAAAAAATTTTAACTTTTTTAAAAGGGGTGGAGAGAAGAGAGAGGTCAGAAAAAAAATGGAATATGTTAAGGGAGATAAGGTAAAAGCAAAATCCCCATTGTAAGAACTTGTGAAATATAGCCATATTACAGATTTTAACCACAAGCTTAAGCAAGAATATCTTCTCTTGGCACGCTCTCCACAGGAATAACTTGAGGCAGGCATTTCCCAGCTATACAACTACACAAGTACCTAGATGAAAGGAGTTATGTACATTTCTGCTGTCACTGAGTACCCAAAATAAGCTCATGGATCTTGGAACCAGAGTGAGCCATATCTGGGCTCACGCTGCATTCAATTCTATTCCTCAAAGAAAAGGGCTCTGGTTTTAACGTTAATAGCAGAAGGAAAGGAGAGCAGGAATTAGAGTTGCAATTGGGTTAACAAAAATTCTGCATGTCTCATCATCCTCTATAGTAAGGGTCTCCCTCTCTCTCTCTCTTTCTCTCTCTCTCTCTCTCTCTCTCTCTCACACACACACACACAAAGGTAATACTCTCTCTTGATAAGACTGCAGGATTGTCCTATTTATGTGCCATTTTTGTAAGCCCAGGTAACATAGCAACATAGGGACAGAACTTGTGGGACAGTTGGTCATCAGCTATAATTTTATCAAAGGGTGAGATGCTATCAAGCTTTGTCCCAGTACCTAGTGACCCAATGCCCAGTTCAAGGGTTTCTATTTTAACAACGCTGAATAGAGCTTTCTTACTTGACACATTGCAAACAAACAAGTTGAGAAGACAAAAAAAAAAAAAAAAAAGCACTGGGGAGACTACAAATAGATTTCACCTCCCAGGCCAACACTGATCACTCTGAATCCTGTGTTGAGAATGGTTCTGAGACCATTTCCAAGTTTGGAAGTGGTGTAATCTATAAGAAATGCCTATAGAGGGCCCTGAAAGCAGCAGCAGTGGGACACAGATCATGTATCTGTCATCTTTAAGCTACAGATGTATTAGACATACATAAAACACACACAAAATCACAAAAGTGTAACATCGGTGTTACTGTCACTTAAGAATTGATGCCATTTGTAGTATGTTGTTCTTTGGTTATCAGTTGCTCCTTGAACCACACACCTGCCCTGCATCCAGAAAGGTATTGCCTATAGTATTTTCTCACATTAAGCCTGCATTAATTTGTTTCTGTACTATCTGGTTTGGCTGATGTTGCTATAATTTTTTTAATATCTGGGGTCTTTGTATTTGCATAATCTTGCCTGAATTATACTGCTGGGTTGGAGAAACATCTCTGGCTAACTAGAACAACCAATAACTTGTTTAAAATTTTCACATACTTTGCATTTGTTATCTTTCATTTACCATCACTTGGCTCAGTTTATTCTGTGTAATCTCAACCCACTAAGCTATGCCAACCTGTGCCCATTCCTGTGCTTGCTGTGTATGCATCCATTTCTCAAGGTAGCAGTTTGGCACCTGCTCCCTTAAAATAAGTCCAAGGTCTTGGAGTCCTTTAAGATCACAAACTTGCGAAGACAACTGCCAAGTCAATG
The DNA here is from genome assembly GCF_000001405.40 of Homo sapiens. Taxonomy (NCBI): domain Eukaryota; kingdom Metazoa; phylum Chordata; class Mammalia; order Primates; family Hominidae; genus Homo; species Homo sapiens. Next base: position 67,462,591 of record NC_000012.12, on the reverse strand, counting down.
ACCTCTCTAACTTTGGAACATTGGCCACCTGGCTCTGATAATCACAGCAGCCATTCAGGCCACTGATTCCTCTCTGTGTCTCACTGTTCCAGCTCTGCCTCTGAGGAGGGGCCACCCCATAACGTGGGGCAGGGAAAATGAACTTCTAGGCAAATGGCCAATAGATGTCCTTAATAAACTGACCCATTTCAAAGCTTTCCCCTCTTAATTAAAATTACTGCTACCTCTGCAGAAAAATCCCCTTTGGACCTTCAAGTTCTTTTTAGACTCTTGCTTTCCTTTGGGTGGATAATGGACTACAGCTTCAGCTTCCCTTTAGGGCTCTTACAAGTGGAGGGAGACAAAAACGAGACAGGAAAAGAATTTGATAGGTGGTGAAAATGCCTCCCCTTGTGCCAAAATTGTGCCTGCCTTCATCTACTGTGCCTCTGGTCTCTGGCACCAACCATATCCTGACCTGTACACATAGGAGGGGGCAGAAAGCCTTTGTAACAGCAGGTAGAAAGCAGATGGAGCTGTCCCTTTATATAGGTATAGCTACTTAGGTACTCTCTTTCAGCCTCTTTCTGGGCATTCTATTATTTAAAAAAAAAAAAGACAGCAACCTTGAGATGAGCCATCACTGCTACCACAAGCAAAGGCAAATAACTCAGAGAACTTTATGAACATAAAATAGATTATCAAGTAAAACTTAAGAATACAACCAATACATCTCTAGCCATTTGGTGGGTATCCTAGAAGGCAGCTCCTGGACTCTTACATAAGAGAGAGACTGACAAGCCATTGTCGGAGTTGAGAGATGGTTAGCTAATCTCATACAGAGAAAAAAATAAGTATGTTTCTTATGTTAAATAACTTGCCTTATTGCCTGCCATGGGGGAAAAATAATATTTTGTGTTTCTTTCATTTTTTAGCCACTTTCGAGAAGTACACAGTCTTAAATTCCCATGATTGGGTTAAACCATTATAAATAGGCCTGAGAAAATCCACTCTGACTTTTAGACCCCAGCACTTACATTCAGAAATTTCTTTTCTCCTTTCTAAAAATTTTTTAAATTGCTTTTTCAGTTTCTGAGTTAGAGTTTCTCTTTTACATAATTTCTAGGACAAGTGATGGAATGTTTGTAGGAAAAAGAAGAATGCAAGATTGTTTTGTCAAACTGAACAGAAGCCCTAGAATAAGTACCTACTGGTGACCTTAGAGCCAGTCAATAATCCCAGGCACTAGGGAGGAGCAAATATAAATTTGATAATCTTAGAAAATGCTGTTCTAAAAACTGATCTATTTAAATATGTTTGCAGTATGCTTATTCATGCTTAGGTCATGCATCTTATTCAAGTCACAAGCAAATAAATATATAATGCTCATCAGATCTCCAAGAGATGGGTCTGTATAGCACTTGCCCTCTCAGAGGAGGTAGTTGTAGGCTTGTTGGAAGAATAATTTGCCTTAAATTATGCAAGTAGTTGATTGAACACGTTGTTCCTATGAGAAAGGATAAAATAAAAATACTCGCTTATTGTAACCTGGTTCTTTAAGGGAAGAGCGTTATCTGCAAAAGACACAACTATCAAAAAAGAATTCATATCCTGAAACTTGAATTTTAATAAAAAGGGAGTATGCCACTTCTCTAAATTGGGAATGAACATTATTTTTCTTTTTTCTTTCTTTTCTTTTTTTCTTTTTATTTTGAGACAGGGTCTCACTCTGTCATCCACGTTGGAGTACAGTGGTGTGATCTCTGCTCACTGCAACCCCCACCTCCTGAGCTCAAGTGATTCTCAAGCCTCAGCATCCCGAGTAGCTGGGATTACAGGTACACACCAGCATGCCTGGCTAATTTTTGTATTTTTTGTAGAGATAGGGTTTTGCCATGTTGACCAGGCTTGTCTCGAACTCCTGACCTCAAGTGATCTGCCTGTCTTGGCCTCTCAAAGTGCTGGAATTACAGGAATGAGCCACCGCGCCCAGCCCATGATATTTCTTTTTAGGGAGTACACTTTTACTGCTTCCACTTGATAATCGTCTAGGAAACTCTGCGGTTGACATTCATATGCATGGACTGTGTGCATAGGTAGAATTCCGTCCTTTATTTCTAAATCCAAGGTCTCAGTGACAGCATTTAATCCTTCTGAGTGTTAGGCACCAGGTTATTGATTTATTTGGCTTAAGCTGTGTTTGTATTACAGCTGAATGCATAGATTGTAAGCTCCCTACAGGCAAAATATAATTCACATTGTACAATTTAGAGGTGTTATTTTTGATAATGATAATTATATGTCTTCAATATTCCATCAAAAGCTTTGAAAGAGTTGCCATAATATGGTATTAAATCTTCAAAAGACTTGGCTTTCTTTTAATTTCAACAAATATTAGTAGAAAAATCCTCAAGGCCAGACAACGGGACAAGCCCCTAATTTAGTAATAAAGACAGGAAAATATTTATTGGGGGTGATATAAAA